>NC_000011.10:7029696-7332727 GCF_000001405.40 Homo sapiens
TTCTCTTAAGATGCACATACTCGTGAATGTAATATTCAGCACATTATAGCAATTTAATATAGTATGTTGTAACCAAACTAAAAAGAGTTTACCTTTTCTCTCACCCTACACTTGGTTATCCTTTTGAGGTAGTTTTTGTATGAATCTTTATAATCTAAGCTTCTGATTTCTGGTTGTTATTGAGGTTGTTGGGCCCATCTTGCTAACTAGCATGCCTGAGTCCTTAGTATCAGTTGCCTAGAGTGTACATTTTCTTAATGCCAACGAATACTGGCTCCTCCTTTGCCAATAACGCTTAAAGTTCTCCATGAAGAGTCCAGCTGAAGAAATGCTGTCTTAAATAAGGATAAATCACCCAAATCTGGCTGCTATATGAATATGAAAACTTGTTCCAAATGGGTAATCCTTAGAAAAAGGAAGCCATCAGAACAGAGCATCCATTTACCCATGTGATCCAGAGGTTTCTCATCTGAGAGGCAATTCTCAATCCTGAAGCTACTGGATCTATTAGCTTCTAAGACTGTCTTCAGGGGCCAAGGCCATGAATTCATCTTAGAGCAGTTCTAGTCATGTAGGATTTGAATGAAATTGCACTATCCATAAATCAACACACAGCCTTGGTGACTACTGTGGTCGATTTGACTCAGCTGTTCCTTAAATATATCGAGTAGGCTCTTAACTGAGGGTCTCTGCACTTGCTATTTCTTCCTCCTGGAATGCTCCATCTCCCAGATATCTGCATTGTTCACACTTTCACATTCTGCAAATATCGCCTTAGCAGTGGCTTCTCTTGCTATTCAAAGAGAAATAGGACCCACCCCCACTTTTCACCCCCAGCGCTGTATTCCTTGCCCCACTCTGATTTTCTCCATAGCAATGATTACCACCTGGTATACTACAATTCATTATTTGTGCCCCTTCAACAGAATGTAAGCTCCATGGAGGTAAGGGCTAGATGAGCAAGACTTTGGATATTTTATTCACTGCTAGACAGGGTCCAGAAAACTGACAGGCACAAATAAGATGCTCAATAATCGTACGGATTTTAGATGGACGAATAAAGGGACACTGCTTATTGGGAGTCAGCCAGTCTGGGAAAGGTCCTTCAAAGCTGGGGTTCAATTCCCCGACTTCCTCTTTCCCACATCGGGAAAGCAAGGAGGAAGGACGTGCGCCCACAGGTTTGCTGAGCGCAGGGGATCCTATATTGAACACTGAATCTTCTGCGGTAAATGAGTGGAAGAGCAAGCATAGAGGCGGAGAGTGGGAGCAGAGCTCCCTTGGCCCCTCCAGCCAATGGGAAGAGAGATTCGCTAGGTCAGGCGGTGGGGTCCAACCACCCACGCTGGCCCGCAGCCCTCTTAGCGGGTTTGCTCTTCTCTCAGGGGAGGAGGAAGGTGAGGCATTAAGGGCCAGAGTGCGTTCCCCTTTCTGGTGGAACAGCAAATGCCTGTTGATCCTTTCCTGTCCTTCTGAGGCCTGGCTTTTGGCGCTTATACCCTTTGCCACCGACGCCTGGTGAGACCGAGGTATGGAATGACTCTCCTCTTCTCTGGATGCGTACTTTGTCCACTCTAAAATGGGAAGTTGGGTTCTGTGCGAGTCCATCCAGCGTCCACATTCTGTGTGGAAAATGAAAGGGATGTGGACTCAGGGCCCAAGAGGATGAGCTGCCAGGACACCCCAGGGTGGGACACTTCTGGGCATGGCGCCGGCCATGACCAGGGTGGAAAAGCGACCTTGAGGGTGCGAGTCCACGGTCACCTGCAAGTAGTCTTCGGCTGGAGACCTAGTGTGGCCTGTATCCATTTGTCAAATTCCAAAGAGATAAATGAATGCCTGCCAACTGTGCTTGAATTTGGCAGGCACTGCGTGCAGTGCCCGCTTCTTGAATCTCCTGGATTAAAGCGGTATGAATAGCCCCACTTTCACCAGCCTTGACGAATGGAGGCAAGCCCCTCGCCTCTCTAACCAGGAGCAGGTGTTCGTCCTTCAGTCTGAAGCTATTCCCGCCACCTGTGTTCTGCCGTCTTTCATTCACTCTGAGTCTTCCCCTAGCCCCTCTCCCTACTGAAAACGAAACAAACCGCCTGAAAACTGCTTTGCAGGTGCAACAGCTGCTCTCACTGGTGCTCCAGGTTATCAGTATCTGTCTCTCCACTTCTCCCTAGCAAAGTTCAAGAAATATTAGTAAGGTAGCACATGCTTGCTCCCGGCGTTGGTCATCCTCTCTAGCCTATAGTGCTTTAGTGCTTTAGCACCCCCACTCCCTCTACTCCAGCAGTGACCCAAAATTGCTCTCTCTATGCAAGTTAGCAATTATTGCCAACACGCCAAATTCAAGTACAGATGGCAGGCATTCATTTCTTTAACTTTTTGGAATTTGGCAAATGGATATTGCCTTTTTACCTTTTTATTTCTCCACTTATTTAAGGAATGTATTCTAATGAGAGATAATTGTCAAAAATTGTCCTAAACTCAGTTGTGTTTTGAGTTAGGACAATTTGTGGTAATTATTTTAAGTACATTTTGGTTTTTTTTATGTAGAGGTTTTGTTTTCTTTGCTTAGTTGTAATCTTCATATACCTGCCAACTGTTTTGCTGTATGACGAGGTCATTTTCATGACTAAAAATCAAGTGTGTGCTATATTTTTATACATTCATTATAATTGAATCCTTATTGACAATTATTTACTATTCTAAACAAACACCCTTATGCACAAAACTTTCTTTTCTGTATTTAGGATTTTTTTTTCAGTGGATGATTTCCCAAAGAAGATACTGTTTGAAAACTCATGCATGTTTGTAAAATTCTCAGTAGACATGCAGACATGCAGTTTTTCAAGAGTGTAGCAATTAACATTTATATTAACTCCTTTTATATGGTACTGCTTTTTAAAGCTTATTTTTGTCATTTTGTTCTTTGAGAAGGGCTGTTTCCTGGTTTGCATTAGTTGTGCTATCTGCCTAAGTTTGAAAATTTTCTGAAATACTTGTTAGCCATTTGCTTTTTGCTTTTTTTCCCCTTCTATGAATAGGCTATTCACAATAAATTTGCTTTATTGCTATTCTGATCTATTTGTATCATGTCATTTTAGGGATATGAACATTTTCAAGACAATATTTTAGTGTGAACTGTAACTCATAAAAGACTGCACTGAGCATAAACATGCAGCTTGGTAAATGATTACCAAGTGTTCACTCATGTAAAACATCAGCAGGTCAAGGAATAGGACATTCGTTACCAGGACATAAGGCCCCCTTCATCCCCCTCCACCTCATCTCCACAGAGGTATTAGGAAATGGACTTTTATAATAGCTACTTCATAATCTTGTTTGATTTGGCTTCTTCCACTAGTTATGAGATTTATTCTAGTGGCATATAGCTTCAATCATATGTTTTCTTTGCTGTTTAGGATTTCATTGTACGAATTTACCACAATGTATTGATTGGTTCTACTATAGATGAACTCTTGGATCTTTTCAAGTGCTTAGGAATTACAAGCAGTGCTGCTGTAGTTATTGTATATCTCCTGGTATACCTACACACATATTTCTATTGGATATTTTCTAAGAACTTTAATTGCTCTGTCATAGTGTATGTATATTTCCAGTTTTAAGGAATAACCATTTTAGAATAGTATTTTTTAGAATTACAGAAATTTCTTGTCACCCAATTTCCCCAATTTTTAATATCTTGCATTACTATGGTATATTTGTCACAATGAAGACAATAAGGCAATTAAGTTGCACTTAATTTGAAGTTCACTAGTTTTTCCATAGTGTTCTTTTTCTATTCCTGAATATTACATTTTTCTATTCCTGAATATTACATTTACATTTATTATTACAGTACAGTATTGTCCTGGGTGGACATCTTCAATTTTAGTAGTTAATACAAACAGTTTTAAAGTGGTTTTATTAATTTACACTTCAGTTGTCTATTTGCCATATTCCCTGTAAACATTTTTCTGTTTTTGGTTGGCCATTTGTGTTTGAATTCTAAGGACAAGAGGTTTTAATTTCAGCATAGTTAACGAACATTTTGTCTCTGTAGATTCCTCTGGTCTGTGAAAGTTTCTCAGTCTTTCCTTGTTTTCTGATGACCTTGACAGTTCTGAGAAGTACTAGTCAGGTAATTTGTATCATGTCCCTCACTTTGTTTTTTCTTATGGCTAGACTAGGATGATGGGTTTGGGGAAGGAATATCATGGTGGCAACATGCCATTCACAGTATCAATAGCACATACGATCACAATGACTTATGGCTGGTAATAGTAGCCTTGATCTTGGGAGAGTGTTTGTCAGGTTTCTCACTAAAAAGTTTCTCCACTGTCCCCACCTGCTCCCATACTGCTCTCTTTGGAAAGAAATCAATAAGCACAGTCAGCGCTCTGGGAGGTGGGGTGCAGTTGGGTTAACCGCCACTTCCTGGAGGGAAGAATATCCTACACACAGTATTTGGAAATCTTCTCTAAGAGAGATTTGTCTCTTTTCTCTCATATATTCGGACATTTGTCAATATCAGTACGGACTCATGGACATTTGCTTTGTACTTTGGGCTATAATCCAATACTGTTATTTATTTTGGCCATCAGGAGCTCTTTCTGGTTTTATCTTAGGTCTTTTTGCATACCCCATTATTTTCCTTTCCTTATTTCTGGCACTATGAGATGCTATCGGCTCATCGTATCTATTCCCTGTCCCAGCCCTAGAATCAGCAGTTTCTCAGAGGAGCCCTGATTCCTTTTATTGGCAAATGGTACAGTTAGAAACCAAAATTTGGGCCTGGGTGGACATCTCCAATTGTAGTAGTTAATTCAAACAGTTTTAAAGTGGTTTTATTAATTTACACTTCAGTTGTTTATTTGCCATATTCCCTGTAAACATTTTTCTGTTTTTGGTTGACCATTTGTGTTTGAATTCTAAGGACAAGAGGTTTTAATTTCAGCATAGTTAACAATATATCTTCAAATATTCATTGTGGTTCTTGGTCAATTCCCTTACTGTGTCCAAACTGGTAAGTCCCTTCTTTCCTAAGTTGTGATGAATATTCTTTGCTGTTTTCTCCTCCCTGGTTTGAAGTATTAATGATGTACTACTTACTATATCTGGGATTTATTATGAGGATACTAATTAATTCTTGTCAAAATGGTTTACAAGTTGTGCTAATGAACGACCCTGAATTATTTCCTCCCAATTATGGTGTCTCTTCTATAATATATTGAAATCTAATGAGAATGTATTTTCTTGGCTATCTACTCTTTTTCTTTGATTTAATTATCATGACAGAAGTTGTACATTTAGGCCAGGCACCATGGCTCATGCCTGTCACCTGTAATCCCAGCACTTTGGGAGGCCTAGGTGGGCAGATCACTTGAGGTCAGGAGTTGGAGACTAACATGGCCAACATGGTGAAACCCTGTCTCTACTAAAAATCCAAAAATAAATAAATAAATAAATAAATAAATAAAATTAGCCAGGCATAGTGGCAGGCACCTGAAGTCCAAGTTACTTGGGTGGCTAAGCCATGAGAATCGCTTGAACCCAGGAGGGAAGGCAGAGGTTGCAGTGAGTGGAGATCCACCACTACACTCCAGCCTGGGCGACAGAGCGAGACTCCATCTCCAAAAAAACGAAGTTGTTCACTTAGCAGTAGAGGTTAGACTCTTGAAGTTTTTTCAACTGGGGGGAAATTTGCTGCCCTGGGGTCATTTGGCAATATCTAGAGACATTTTTTGTTTGTCACAACTGTAGAAGATCCAGGGTTCTAATTGGCATCAAATAGGTAGAAGCCATGAATGCTGCTCAACATCATATAACGCACGTATAGTATCCCCCAAGGAAATATCCAGCCTAAAATGTCAGTACTACTGAGGCTGGGAAACTGCTATAGGAGATTTAATTAGAGCGACCAAGAAAGGAAATCAATCCGGACTATATGAAAAGGGTGGAAACACCTGGCTTCCTAGGTCAAATCTTACCTCCCTGAGACCTCCATATCTCTCCCCTCTCTAGGTGAGATTCCCTTCTCCCTTTGTGTCCTCCTAGAACTACTCTGGCCCAGATGATAGTCATGCTATATTTAGAGGTCTTCCTCTTCTAGTCTGGTGTTCAGCATAGGGTCTGCTATCACAGAGCATGGCCACACAGATTTTGTATAACTCTGAATTTCCAATGCCTAGGAAAATGAAGTGAAATTAAAAGGCAATGCTATGTAGTAGAAAGAGAATGAGCTTTGTAGTATGATAGGCCATTTGTCAACTCTATGACCTGGGCAAGTTTCTTAATTTCTGAGACTCCGTATCTATAAATGTGGATAAAATCAAACTTTCAGGTCTGTTTTAAAGTCTAGAGAAAATTTTTGTAAAGAATCTATATACACTAGGTCCTCACAAATATAGTCATTATTAATATGAGCTAATTATTTTGAACAAATATGCTTTGTTATAGGCAAAAATTTACATCAATAAATTTGCAAATTAAAATCCTCATAGACCATGGGTTCCCATTTTAGTTCAGGGCATTTTTGAATGAATGAATGCCTTCCTATAAGAGAAACAGTGCCAAACATGTGTTCCTCTTTCTAAAAAGGTAAAAAGCCAAAACAAAACAACAAATTCCTTCGAGGACAGCGTAAAACCTTTGGGAAGGAGACTATAGTATATTCTACTCTACTATAATTGTAGATATCATATAGTAGAAAGCTAATAGGGTTCAGACTCATATAGATCTCGGCTCAAAGGGACACCCAGAAAGGAGGAGGAAAATGAAAAAAGTGTGGGATTATGACAGCAAAGAGACAAGTGTAAATATCAAGATGTAAGGCATTGTTAAAATAGTATTATTAACATATGGCACCTTGTTAAAGTTAGGTGCATGCGTTAGCTTTTTTAATCCTTGCAGAGGTAGGTACTCTTGCTATTCCTGCTTACAGATGGGAAAATTGAATCCCAAAATGCCCCTTGAGTTTTGTAACAAGGAGGTTATTGGTATGAGTTATTTCAGTGGAATTGTGGTGGCAAAAGTTCTATTGCAGTGGATTGAGGAGGTATAATATAATAGGTGATAGAGTATAGAAGATTGAAGAAGTTTGACTATGAAGATGAAGGGGATTTGGAGTAAAGGGAATATTTGTAAAAGACTAAGTGAGATTTGGGCACATTTAAGTGCTAATGAGTAGGACTTAGGGGACAGGGAGAAGTTGAAGATCAAGAAGATAGATTTCTAATGGATTAAATCCCTTCAGGAACAATTGCTTATGAGATTTAGATCACAGGTAGAGAAATAAGCTATAGAAAAGGGAAGAGAGCGCCCCTCATTTGTTACAGGAAAGACAAAGATAAAGATGGACCCACATGTAGGGATACCTGCAGATTTCTAGAAAGGAAGCGGAAGATGTATTCTGTGCCTTGCTTTCCCTCACCTACCATATTCTCTATGTCCTGGAGAAATTTCAGAGTTCTTTTTTGAAGTTTCCTCAAATCTTTTCCTTTATGCTTTTTAAAAAATTACTATAGGACTTGTTTTTGTCAGATTTATCTGTAATCTAGAATATTTTTACCATGTAGTTAAACAAACAACCTTAAAACAGCTGATAGCTCACCAATTACTGTAGGATAAAATCCAGATTTACTATATGTTTCGAGACAATTCACCTTCTGTTTAAAAGAAAAACTCTCCCTTCTATATACTTTTATTTCCCCCATCCGTCTTTTTTTTCCAATCATATTAGCAAGAATTGGGGGAGACATTATGAAAGACTGGAAAGGGCAGGAATTTTAGTGAAAGATCTAAGTTGAGTTCCAGCTGCATCACTTACTAGCTCTATCTCTTCAGGCAATTCACCAAAACAGATTAAGAAAACTTGATGGTGCTTGGGAGAGTATGGATTAAGTGATTAATTGGAGCACCCATGCTGAATAAGAAATTGAATAAGGCCCTTAAGATGGCTGATGAGGGGTAAACGCAGGGCTCAAAAGGATTTGATGATGTTTGAAGAACTGTCACCGAGTAAGGGCATGAAACCACTCAGTTAACTGGAAGATATTAGTAAAAAATGGGTTATGGGAGTTTGCAGCTTAAAAGTTTGAGTAGTCATTGACAAAGCCTGGGGTGAGAGCATTAGAGTAAACTGCCAGAGAGCAGTAAGGTCATGGGAGTTGATGTCAAAGACGTGAGATGAGGATGTTTTTGATGCACTTTAACACTGAACTCACCCAGACTAACTGTGGTGTTGGGGAAAGTGCATGAAAGGAGCTTGTGTACTACAAAAGACCCTCAGTAATTATATATGTATTTATGACCAGAAATGACATGACAAGAAGAGGTAGATGGTGGCATATTCTAATTGCATGTGTTTGTTGAGTAATAATGTGTTGGCAGGGGTGCAATAACAATGTTTTATAGGTTGAGATGTATATTAGATGTTGTTGGGGGATAGAAGGGATGAGGATGGACAGTTAGCAATACTTAGGAGGAGCCAGTTCTGTGCCAGGTGATATATGAACCCTATCTTATTTGATCCATACTAAAATTAGAGGTTGGCTCTGCTATCCCCACTTAGCAGAAGAGTAAGTTGAGGTTCAAAGAGAGGAATTACCTTTATTTATATAGCTCATAAGTGGTAGGACTGGGAACAGATCATAAGAAGATGGAATAAATATACAGTACAGTGGTCTATATCAGAGGAATGCTTTGTGAAAGAAGATATATTACAGAGGACACTAGGTCAGTACCGAGCCTAATACAGTGGGCTTCTGCAAATGTTTGTTAAATTAATCTATATAAGTATTTCATTTTCAAATCTGTCTTTTTCATGTGTCCCATTTATTCCATGTGCTTTTGGTTATTTTTTTTCCCCCCACAGAGGCCTGAATATTTGGACAAGATGGCAGATTCATCATCATCTTCTTTCTTTCCTGATTTTGGGCTGCTATTGTATTTGGAGGAGCTAAACAAAGAGGAATTAAATACATTCAAGTTATTCCTAAAGGAGACCATGGAACCTGAGCATGGCCTGACACCCTGGAATGAAGTGAAGAAGGCCAGGCGGGAGGACCTGGCCAATTTGATGAAGAAATATTATCCAGGAGAGAAAGCCTGGAGTGTGTCTCTCAAAATCTTTGGCAAGATGAACCTGAAGGATCTGTGTGAGAGAGCGAAAGAAGAGATCAACTGTGAGTGATGCTAGGGGCAAATCGGGGGCTAGGCAGGAAGGAAGTGTTTCCTGGAGCCCAGTGGAATGTTTCTGTAAGAGGGATTTAGGGATTAAACCATGTTGGGGGACATAAGCTCCATGGTGGTCTTGTGCATGGGGAGCTTGTTGAATTATTTGAGGAAGGAAAGGCAGAAGCGTTTTGAGTACTGTTACTCAGCCTAGCTCCTTAACTGGCGGCAATTCATCCATCTTGTACCAGTTGAAATGATCAAAGGAATTGAGTGATAGGAATTGTCCCATAAAGTGCCTTCACCAAAACTACAAGTTATAAGTTAGGCAACATTTTGAGGAATCAAATATGATTTAACATATTTGCTGAAATATGAGGAATGGGCTGAAAATTATTATTGGACGTAATCCAAGGCAGTATTTTTAGTCATTCTCAGGTATGAAATATTATAGACCTCTAGAATTCCTTACGCGTATACAAGGCTTTAGAGTTATATATATATATGTATATATATAATATTCATATCTATTATCTCCTTTGCACCTCACCGTATCGTAGTGAAGTCAGTATAGACAAGGAAACTGAGGCTTATACACTACACTATTTGCCCTGGAGCTACAAGGTGGGGGCCATGGCAAGAGGTCTCCTACTTCAGTGTTATCTGTATCACATTGTTTCTTCTCTCAGCTAAGCTTATGGAGTCTGAGGCTCTGGCAGCTCTAGTTTTCTTAAACCCAGATAGTCATAGAATTGGACCACTTATGTGAATGCTGGCCTCTGTTCTAGCCATCATGAAAGCTCACTTTGTTTTCATTAAATATCATGATCCTATCGGAACCTGTTGCAGGGTCGGCCCAGACTATAGGACCAGATGATGCCAAGGCTGGAGAGACACAAGAAGATCAGGAGGCAGTGCTGGGTGAGTAGTTAGGCCTTTCATCAGATTTGGGAGGCATTCAAAGTTTTGATACAGGACGGTGATTTATCTCCCGAGGACTTTTGTTCAAATCTTGTTAACTTCTTCTAATACCCCACCTGTTCCCTGAATGTCACCCAAAAAGGATCAGCAAAACACTCCCTGGCCAAAGTCAGAATCAGGGCCTTGTTAATTCAGATCCTCAAGAGAACAGTGTTTAGAATGCCTGCTAAAAGAAGGGCTGACGCACAAAGGTATATTAATGTTTATATTTTATGGACTAAAAGTCACTGAATTGGGAGGAAACTTTCAGTTTATCACATCTACTTTCTTTAAAGATGGTGCTGTAATTAAATTCTAGGAGTGGTGACCAACTGGTTCATATAAAAACTGATTTCTAGAACCAGGTCTTCTCAGTCATAGTTAACACAGGGGTCCCCAACTCCTGGGCCACAGACCCCTACTGGTCGGCGGCCCCTCGGGAATCAGGTCGCATAGCAGGAGGTGAGTGGTAGGCCACGGGAGCTTTACCACCTGAGCTTCGCCTCCTGTCAGATCAGCAGCTGCTTTAGTCTCATAGGAGCACGAACCCTATTGTGAACTGTGCATTCAAGGGATCTAGGTTGTATGCTCCTTATGAGAATCTGATGATAAATGTAATGCAATTGAATCATCCTGAAATCATCTCCCCTCCCTGCCCTGCCACCCCTGCCTCCTACATCCATGGAAAAATTGTCTTCCATGAAACTGGCCCCTGGTGCCCAAAAGATTGGGGATTTCAGACCACTGGTTTATTAACACCATTTCCCCACTTTGTTTTGAATTCTACATAATTTAATTCCAATTTATATAAATGGAATTACAGTAGAAAGAAAATTAGATCAAGTGAGAAACCTTTATTCTTAACCCAGCCACATTCTAACAAGCCACATTATTTCATTCAAGAAATAATTGAAAACTTAGTTCATCCCAAGCACTAAAATAGAAAAATTACTTGTTATCTTAAATGACCTTGAATATAACATCCCACTGTGACCTTAATTTCTGATTCAATATAAAGAAGTATATCTTTATGGTATGAGAAAAATCACATGGCTAATAATTTTTGTTTTATTATTATTTCAAACCTAATGGCTATTTCCCTCTTATGTGCAGATAATTGCACACAGATAGCTAATAAATGTCTTCAAATTATTATTTGAAAATTGTGATAAAAGTAAACTATTTATTATGGGAACTTTGGAAAATACTGTAAGTACAAAATAGAAAATAAGAAGTACAGCAATGATTTACTGATTATTTTCTCTGTGAGTATACCAATATCACACTGTTTGAATTACTATAGTTTCGTGGTAGGTTTTAATTTTGGGTAAATAGTGTTTTTCTTCTCCCTGCCTGGCCAATCATTATTTTCGCTTTTTGGGATTTTTTAGTTATCATTTGTTTATGTTTTATCTTTGTTTTTAAACTTCACATAAGCAAAATGAGCTATTTTTTTAAAAAAGATTCAAATGTTTTAAAATTACATAAAGTGAGTTTCTCACTCTTCCCACTCCCCATCCCCAATCCTACTATTCAGAAATAACCAGTATTAATATATTGGTGTATATGGTACATGTTTTCAGATACATAAAGTTTGTTCATCTTTTTTCCAGGAGAGGATCATATTCTACATAATTGCCAGAAACTTCATATCTTTTTTGGTTATTATTTGGGGGGATATTAGTACCTATAGTTATACCTTATTCAAAAGTTGTAAAGTACTCAATTATATCATTGTATTCTCATTTTTTTATTGCACAAATATATTTGACACTTATGTGCACGGAAATGTGTTAGACACTGACCATGCAATGATGAAGCCCCTAGCCAAGTGCATCATTTATTTTAAAAATAAAGTAATTGTAGCTAGTGACATGTACTGTGAATGAAAAATATACTGTTTTGAGAATATATAAAAAGGGGAAGTAGTCTAGCGATGAGGTTCAGAGAGGTCTTCCCTGAGATCCTATCCTTTTAATAGAGATCTAAAGGAGGGATCAGACTTAAACAAGTAAAGATGAATTATATTTTCATTCTATTTCACTCAGGATGTTTTTCTTTTTTCAAAATATTATTTAAGCTACGATTCAATGTTTATTTCTATTAACTTTTTACTTGTACAAAGAAAATTATTTTGATCTGTAGATTCAGGTCTGTCTTGGGGGTCTTCCCTATTATTGTTAATGGTTGCCTCTGTTCTTTTTTTTTTTAATCTGGATGACATCTCTGTTCTCCACATCTATTATCTTTTTTCTATGTAGAAGGAAAAGTACAAAGAAGAAAAAATATTTCTAAAGTGAATCCAGTTTTTATTTCCCATCACAAATTCATTTTTCTGCATCATCTATTCTGGTTTTTATTACAGTATCTAATACAGGTTTTAAATCTATAGGAATATTTTTATTTATATTATTTTTAAAAAATCAAAACCAGCTCTGATTTCAGCCTATGTTCTTTCTTGTTCCTAATTCCAAGTTCGGTATTCTTGACATTACATTTCATAGAATTTGTTTTGATCATGTGTCTTTGTTTTTGTTTTTTTACCTTTGCCATTCTGACTTAGGTGATGGAACAGAATACAGAAATAGAATAAAGGAAAAATTTTGCATCACTTGGGACAAGAAGTCTTTGGCTGGAAAGCCTGAAGATTTCCATCATGGAATTGCAGAGAAAGATAGAAAACTGTTGGAACACTTGTTCGATGTGGATGTCAAAACCGGTGCACAGCCACAGATCGTGGTGCTTCAGGGAGCTGCTGGAGTTGGGAAAACAACCTTGGTGAGAAAGGCAATGTTAGATTGGGCAGAGGGCAGTCTCTACCAGCAGAGGTTTAAGTATGTTTTTTATCTCAATGGGAGAGAAATTAACCAGCTGAAAGAGAGAAGCTTTGCTCAATTGATATCAAAGGACTGGCCCAGCACAGAAGGCCCCATTGAAGAAATCATGTACCAGCCAAGTAGCCTCTTGTTTATTATTGACAGTTTCGATGAACTGAACTTTGCCTTTGAAGAACCTGAGTTTGCACTGTGCGAAGACTGGACCCAAGAACACCCAGTGTCCTTCCTCATGAGTAGTTTGCTGAGGAAAGTGATGCTCCCTGAGGCATCCTTATTGGTGACAACAAGACTCACAACTTCTAAGAGACTAAAGCAGTTGTTGAAGAATCACCATTATGTAGAGCTACTAGGAATGTCTGAGGATGCAAGAGAGGAGTATATTTACCAGTTTTTTGAAGATAAGAGGTGGGCCATGAAAGTATTCAGTTCACTAAAAAGCAATGAGATGCTGTTTAGCATGTGCCAAGTCCCCCTAGTGTGCTGGGCCGCTTGTACTTGTCTGAAGCAGCAAATGGAGAAGGGTGGTGATGTCACATTGACCTGCCAAACAACCACAGCTCTGTTTACCTGCTATATTTCTAGCTTGTTCACACCAGTAGATGGAGGCTCTCCTAGTCTACCCAACCAAGCCCAGCTGAGAAGACTGTGCCAAGTCGCTGCCAAAGGAATATGGACTATGACTTACGTGTTTTACAGAGAAAATCTCAGAAGGCTTGGGTTAACTCAATCTGATGTCTCTAGTTTTATGGACAGCAATATTATTCAGAAGGACGCAGAGTATGAAAACTGCTATGTGTTCACCCACCTTCATGTTCAGGAGTTTTTTGCAGCTATGTTCTATATGTTGAAAGGCAGTTGGGAAGCTGGGAACCCTTCCTGCCAGCCTTTTGAAGATTTGAAGTCATTACTTCAAAGCACAAGTTATAAAGACCCCCATTTGACACAGATGAAGTGCTTTTTGTTTGGCCTTTTGAATGAAGATCGAGTAAAACAACTGGAGAGGACTTTTAACTGTAAAATGTCACTGAAGATAAAATCAAAGTTACTTCAGTGTATGGAAGTATTAGGAAACAGTGACTATTCTCCATCACAGCTGGGATTTCTGGAGTTGTTTCACTGTCTGTATGAGACTCAAGATAAAGCGTTTATAAGCCAGGCAATGAGATGTTTCCCAAAGGTTGCCATTAATATTTGTGAGAAAATACATTTGCTTGTATCTTCTTTCTGCCTTAAGCACTGCCGGTGTTTGCGGACCATCAGGCTGTCTGTAACTGTGGTATTTGAGAAGAAGATATTAAAAACAAGCCTCCCAACTAACACTTGGTAAGTGTGTTAGGGCCATTCCCTGGAAGTGCCCTGTAAGGGAGAGACGTAGATATTTGTCAGAGGGAGGAGGCGTTTAGCTGAGGTCCCAGAGCTGAGATAACCCTCTGGAGTTGTCCCATCTTGAGGCAGGGAGGCTAAGCATTTAAACCCCTTATTGACCAATCATGGCTACTGGTGAGGAGTGGGCAAAAACTTTCCTGAGATGGCTTTTTTTGGCCTGAAGGCAATACCAGGAGAGGGACTGGGCTGAGGACTCTCAATTGTTGACAATCTCAACAACTCAGGGGGAATGAGCACTTCAGTCTTCAAGGAGGAATGTGGCATGGCACAAACTTGCATCCATGATAATAAGTATATTTGATTTCTAAAGATAATGTCATCCAGAATAAGGGACCAGAAATTTTCTGCTGAACCTGGTAAACACAGGTTATCTCTCTGTATTATATTCCTCCGTACTCCACTGACCTAGCTCGCTTTCTCTATTGCCCAGACATTGGTTGGCCTTTGTTTTGTAGTTTGTGAAGGGTCTCAGCCCTTTAATGCCTATCTGGAGACACTGGAGGTTAATAAGAAATAGTAGGTGCTAAATAAATATTTTTGAAAAAAGAAATGAACCTTAAGTGTTTTACGTACATTATTCTACTCTACCTCCTTTCTCAAGTTGCCTTTTCTGACTACCCATCTAAATCTGAGGAAAGATTTGAACTATGGAATTCATTCCCAGATGTATATAAAATTAATTGAGGACTTCCTATGTGCTATATAGTTGTATAGTGAACTGGATATTTAACATAATGTGCAATTTAATGTTGTTGGCAACCATCTCTATTTTTAAGATTACAAAACTCAGAGACATATACCTAGAAAATTTATTGATTCAAGCACACATCAAATAATAGTTAAGTGGCTAAGTGCTTATCACATAACCTGACAGTCTTCTAAGTCCTTGATCTCATTTAGTCTTCTGATAGTCTTATTAGGTAGGTGCTATTATTTCCATTTTACTTAGGACAAAATTGTGATACCAAGAAGGCATATAACTTGACTGAGGTCACACATCTGATTGTAATTTCTTGGTTTGCTAACTTTATCCAAGCTGTTTCAGTACCATTATATACAATTGCAGAATCACTCCTTTCTTATAAGAGCATACATTTCATTTATTTGCAAACTGTGGGAGTAGAAATTGTGGGCCCTGATGCTATGACCTTTACCCACCTTGGAAAATTGTGAGTAATCGTCAGTCAATTTTCTTAATTCTGACTTCAGAGTTCTATTTAAAGAAGATGTGATTTAACAGGGCATTAAAACGTCTTTTATGCCTAATAGTAAATGCTAGAACAGTATTCTGGCCACTAGATTGCCAGTTCTCCTGCTAGCTTTCCTTACCTATGTTGTAGAGTTATCTAGTACTAGAGTTGATTGTTGCTAAAATAAGGAGCCAGAGAACCCAATGTTTTAAAAGAAAAACTGTAGGTGACCTCAGTCTCTTCTATAATATAACTACATTGTAAGCTTTGTGAGAGCAGGAGCTCTGTATGGTTCACCATTTTATCTCGTGTTCGCACAGAGGAAACACTTGAATGCTTGAAAGAATAATTTATTATCCTGTTTTTATAAATTTAAGACCTCAAGTGATATAGACCATCACTATGAACTGTCATTCATTCCAATTTAAGATATGGGAATGAATATTTATTGACTAGCTGTTATATATAAGGCAACACACTAGACTTTTACATGTTTTGTATATATTATATTTAATATATACATATATATGTATATAACAGTTACTGATTACTAGGAACACTTATAGCATGAGACATTTGCTAAGCATTTTCTACATACTGCCTTATTGAATTTTCACAGTTGTCCTAAAAAATAGATACTATTATCTTCATTTATCAAGATCATGAAGCTGAGGCTCACATAGGTTAGTAAATTTTCCAGAATAACTAAGTTCAGTGAGTGGCAGTGTTGAATTGGGACTCAGAGCCGCTCCATTGTCGAGCTTATAAACACCAGGTTGTCCCCTGTTTTATTACCCTTTATTTGTTCATGAGTTTATTGATAATATTCCTAATAATTAAATTATAAAGTATTTAAAGTTTACAGTGTGCTTTTGTGTACCCTTTAAAATGCACTATTAAATTTCCACATCTTTGTGAAAGGAGACATTTCCATTTTATAGATGATGAAAATTTGCAAGTTATAGAACTTATGCAACTCTCTTAAAATAATATGGCTAGTAAGTGGTAGACCTGGGGCTCAGGCCTGTGGTTTTTAATCTATACCACTTTACACCTAATGTCTACCCACTAATCCTAATCATATTCTTTGTGACCAAATTTTATTTTTCTTTTTGATATTGGCTCTTCAAGTATTTGAATACTTCTCTCTTATCCCTCCTGAGTTGCTTCCTCTAAAGTAAAGCTTCTCTGGTTTTTATTTTGTGTGTGTTGAAGGGAGTGGATGGGAAACGGGAGAGCTATTGGACAAATAAGACCTCTGGAGTGCCCAGAGGAAGACTTCCTGGTGGACTGTGCCCACGGTGGAGCTGCACTGGATGCTCTTGCCTTTCCAAAGTACACTTACTTTTACTCCAATACTATCCTCTGAGAGTTGGCTAGGCTGAAATAAAATCAGCATTGTTTTTCTTTTCTCAATTATTTATGCAAAGGGATGGTGATCGCATTACTCACTGTTGGCAAGATCTCTGTTCTGTGCTTCATACAAATGAACACTTGAGAGAATTGGACCTGTACCATAGCAACCTTGATAAATCAGCAATGAATATCCTGCATCATGAACTAAGGCACCCAAACTGTAAACTACAAAAGCTACTGTAAGTCTGGTATGAGAAAATTTAATGGAGTTATTCTAATTTCTTTCTGTGTCCCATCTTCCACTCATACTCGTTAGGGGAAGCCAATGCTAAACAAATACTTACAATCCATTTTGTAAAATAAACAGGAACAATGGAATCCTCTGGGGACATGGGATCATTACTAACTGGTTCTCAGAGTGATTCCACAGGGCATAGTAGCTGTTCACATGGGTTTTTCAGGCTTGATTAGGAACTTTCTAAATGAAGAGCACAGAGCTAAAACATTCTAGGCAGGTCACCAATGCACTTTCAAGGACATGTTCTGGAACTTACTATCCTCTTAAATTTTTTTCTATTGAGGAAAAATTTGCATTTAACAAAGTCCACAAATAATGTTCAGTTTGTTGTGTTCTGACAAGTGTAAACATCTTTATAACCAACACACCCAAAACAAGATAGAAAATATTTTCATTTATCTCAGAAAGGTCCCTTGTACCCCTTTCGTTTTTTTTTTTCCTGAGACAGGGTCTTACTCTGTTGTCCAGGCTGGAATGCAGTGATGCTATCGCAGCTAGAACTCCTGGGCTCAAGCAATCCTGCCACCTCAGCCTCCCAAGTAGCTGGGATTACAGGCATGTACCACCATGCCAGGCTATTTTTTTTTAATTTTTTGTAGAGATGTGGTCTCACTGTGTTGCCCAGGCTGGTCTGAAACTTCTGGGCTGAGGAGATCCTCCTGCCTCAGCCTCGTAAAGTGCTGGGATTACAGGCATGAGCCACAATGTCCAGCCTATCCCTTTCTGTTCAATCTTCTCACCCCATCCATTCCCAGAGACAATCATTTTCTAATCTCTGTCACCAGAGTTCAGCTTTGTATCTTTTTGGAATCATTTTGATTGATTTATACAGTATGTATTTTTTTTAATTTATCTTCTTTCTCTTTCTTTTCTTTTCTTTTTTTTTTTTGAGACAGTCTTGCTCTGTCACCAGGCTGGAGTGTAGTGGCACAATCTCGGCTCACTGCAACCTCCGCCTCCCAGGTTCAAGCCATTCTCCTGCCTCAGCCTCCCGAGTAGGTGGGACTACAGGCACGCAGCACCACACCTGGCTAATTTTTGTATTTTTAGTAGAGACAGGGTTTCACCATGTTGGCCAAGCTGGTCTCAAACTCCTGACCTCAAGTGATCTACCCATCTTGGCCTCCCAAAGTGCTGGGATTACAGGCATGAGCCACCACACCTGGCTATATCCATCTTCTTGTGCTCAACAAAATGTCTTCTAAAATTTATCCATTTTGTTGCAACTTTTAGTAGTTTCTTTTTTATTGCTGATTAGTATTCCATTGTATAACTATACTTATACTATAATTTGTTTATTCATTCTCTTGTTAATAGACCCCTGGAGGTTTCCCTAACCTGTTAGGAATAAGGGTAATCTTTGCCAACATTAGATGCTGTCAGTCTTTTTTAAATTTTAATTTATCTTAATTGGATTCTAGATAATCACTTTAAAATGTTGATTGTTCACATGTCTCTTACCTTTTTGTGTAAGGACTCCACTAGGAGCTGAAACTGATCCTAATCTCTGTATTTTGTGCCTGTCAATATGTACAAGGTACATTTGTTGCTTAGTATGAACTGAATGCTGAACAAATGATAGATCTTTGTTTCCATTAGCACTGAAAATAGATGTTCTTTTGGGTGGGGGCTGGGGACAGGCTTCTCACCAAATATTTTCCTCCTGATCTCAGTGTTTTTAGTGAGTTCTGACCTTAGATTTCAAGCATCTAGAGTAGGCTTGGTCTTACATATAGATGTAGTAAGACAACTAGATGTATGTTATGATTACGGGGTTCCTGGAAGTCCTTTCCACTCATCCCTAAACATTTCCCCCATATTGTCCCTTCATTGGATGTCATCAATCCGGATCTTCACAATAGCCAATGCCTTCTTGGTTAACTGACTTCCTTTCTTAGAATGGGAGGGTTGCATCAGTGGGATGACACCATGATGACTGTTCTCAGTCTGTGCCACCTTAATGTGGTCTGTCTTACTGTGGTCCCTTTTTCCTAATAAGTGAGATGGTGCCATTTATGTTTACTGAGTGCCTTAGGCACTTTTACTAGATGAGGATGGTTAGTGCTATAAATGGGTAAAGGCTTTATTTTCCTGTGTGTACTTGCCTGGGGTGAGGGGAGTGAGGGTGGAGGGTGGGTGGTGGGCCGAAAGGAGGAAAGGTGGTGTTACAAAGCGAGGTTTTGGACAGTGAACAGAAGGGCATTGGGGACTAGCAGAGACACTATAGAAGAATCAGAAATATCTGACATTGACTGAGTTAGGAGGTAGAAAGTAGGAAAAAAATTGGCAGATTTAACTTCATAATATTTTGCTTGGGCTGCCTCCGTACACCTGCCTCCGTATGCCTAACGAAGTCCCCAAGATGGCACAGCATGTTTTGCAACAGCGTTTTGTTATTACTGCACATCAGACAGTTGATGCTAATTTTGAATTAACCTTGGATTATTTAAAGATTTGGCTATTGTGAATTAATGTTATTGTAGTACTTGGAATGGCCCTGATAATTTTTGATAGTCATTCCTGGGATTACAAGTTAAAGAGGCTCCTCTTCTGCTTTTCATGATGTTATCACCTTCTTTTCCGTTAAGGTAAAAAAAACTGGGGAGTGTCAATTATCAGGTCATAAATAGAAATTGAAGTTATAACCCAATTGTTTTAGATGAAAATAAGATAAAAGAATATTCATGTAATATCCAAGAATTAGATTGAAAAGAAAGGGATCCTGTAACCAAGGAGAGAAATGGTTTTGTAATACCTCCTGCATATTTTTCTTCTGAAGGTTGAAATTTATCACTTTCCCTGATGGTTGTCAGGATATCTCTACTTCTTTGATTCATAACAAGAATCTGATGCATCTTGACCTAAAAGGGAGTGATATAGGGGATAATGGAGTAAAGTCATTGTGTGAGGCCTTGAAACACCCAGAGTGTAAACTACAGACTCTCAGGTAAGCTTTGAATTGTTTTGTCTTGTTTTGTTTTTATAATTGAGGCTTTTGTCTATCCAAGTAGACTCTTACAGCCTGGATTTGCTATTCATAGGACCGGCTTAAATCTACTTTCATGATATGGGGTAGCAAGCATCTGTAGAATCAAGCTGATTTCATCCTGGTAGGACTTCTCATTCCTCCCATCTCCCCAGGAAGATTTCTCATTGTGTAGTTCTCTGTGTCTCCATCTCCTAAATCTGCTGGTGGTGGGAATAAGAGCAGATTCAGAATTATAAATATTTAACACTTCTAATATTTAAGTGCTGCAATAGATTCGTTGTATCTTTGAACTCTCGTAGAAAATAATACAGTGGGGGATGTTCTTTAATGTAACTGGGGGCAGTGCTGGGGCAGACTCACTATTATTTGATTTTTGTTGGTGACTCCCCCTCAATTTAGAACTTCAACTCAGTGACCAGCCCAGAAGGCTGAGAAAGAAGAGCATGGAAATGGTCCTCTTTCAAGGTGCTTGCTGGCTACCACACACTATTGATCTGAGTGGTGACTCTTCTTTGGCCGATGAAAGTGAAAGGATTAGCAGTCATACTGTTCTCCACATTGTGTGACAGGTTTTAAGAAAGATCTTATTTTTCAATGAAAGTCAATGAAATAGGTTTCTGACAAAACCAGACAAAACAAATAGTTACAGTAAGTTTTGCATTAGAAGTTTTTATAAGCCCTGGACTCAGTTCAGGGTGGCCAAGACTGAAGCTTGATGCATGAAGGGCCAAAGTAGATCTGTATTTGTAGGAAGCAAATTATAATCCAGGTGTAGGAAAAATAAATGAAGTCTGGAATAAGACTTTCTTTGACGTTTTAAAAACTCTTATCGGTTTTTATAAGATGGAATTCACTTACAGCATATCTGGAAAGTTGTTGGATAATTCTCAAACATAGGTTGAGTTCAGTTGTTAGGAGGCCAGGTCAGAGTAAAGGTTTTACCTACTAAGCAGTTTTAAGATATTATGAGGCATTTTCTGTAACCTACATATCTAGTCTGAAACTCAGGTAAGAAGTATGTCACTGTTTCCTATATCTAAAAATAAAATGTATTAGTAGCAAAAAGCTGTTAAATTGAGGAAAAGAGGAAAGATGTTTTCTTACAGTGGGAGCTGTGGATCCAAGACAAGAAAAGCTTGGTGCTTGACAGATCAGTAGGACTTGATAAGATCCCTTCCATTTGAGGTTTGAGTAATGTCGTCCGCTGGTAAGCCTTGATACAGACCAAGTTGCCAGGATTTCAAATAGGAAACCATCTTTCTGGGTCAACTAGTAGGGCTCCTTGCAACAGTAAATACAATGCTTTGGCAAAAGTCATCAGAGCTTTGTAATAATCTCATACTCCATTATGTGGGACTGCATGTTCCCCCAGTGTGGATGGCCACTGAGGAGCAATCAATGGTCCTATTAACATTTCGTGTGGGAGAAGGTCCAGTTTTCTGTTTGCTTCATATCTCATGTTATAAGAGCCATGGGTAGTATGAATGTCCTCATTAGTTTGGTTTGTGTATAGACCATGCACAAGTTTTTAGAATTGCATTTTGATGTTATACTCTCTCTGTAGATGTGGGCAGTGTCGATACATCAGTAGGACTTTGCCAGTCTGTCTTGCAACATATGATCCCCAGTGATTGTTAGAACTTGGCTAATTTAAAAATAAAATACCTTCTAAAACTTTAAATTGCTCATATGAGCCCCTGTACATGAACATACTGAAAGGATACATAATCACTAATTTTCTTCTTTCTTTTTTTGAGACAGAGTCTCGTTCTGTCACCCAGGCTGGAGTGCAGTGGTGCGATCTCGGCTCACTGCAGCCTCCACCTCTGCCTCCTGGGTTCAAGCGATTCTCCTGCCTCAGCCTCCTGAGTAGCTGGGACTACAGGCCCATGCCACCATGCCCGGCTTATTTTTGTGTTTTTAGTAGAGATGGGGTTTCACCATGTTGGCCAGGATGGTCTCGATCTCCTGACCTTGTGATCCGCCTGCCTTGGCCTCCCAAAGTGCTGGGATTACAGGCATGAGCCATCGCACCTGGCCCATAATCACTAATTTTCATGAGAATGCTTTACTATAATATTTACCCAAGGCCTCCCTCAAGAAGAGGAGAAAGATCTATTCTCTTTGTCTTGATAATTTTTTTCCACATTATAGGCCTTATAATAGGTCTTAAAATATGCTTTAAGGTAAGCTCTTAAAATTTGCTGAGCAAGGAGAGACCAAAAACAAAAACAGAAACCTTGGCATAGTCCAATAATTTCTGATTGTGCCCAGGATCTCTTCTTAGTTTGCATATGCTCTGCTATTGGGGCTTTATAAGCAAGGTAAGGGAATGATTGTTGCTTCCACAAAACAGCCACCTGAAGGGTACCAAAATGGCATATAAATGCAGAGCACTCTCTATATCTTCATAGACTTTGAATTAGAAGACTAATATTTCAGAAGGGGGGCAACTAGAATAGTTAGATAAGGCCGGGTGTGGTGGCTCACGCCTGTAATCCCAGCACTTTGTGAGGCTGACAACCTTGGATCACTTGAGGCCAGTAATTTGAGACCAGCCTGGCCAACATGGCAAAACCCCATCTCTACTAAAAATACAAAAACTAACTGGGCATGGTGATGCGCACCTGTAATCCCAGCTACTCAGGAGGCTGAGACAGGAGAATTGCTTGAAACCTGGGAGGCGGAGGTTGCAGTGAGCCAAGATGGCGCCACTGCACTCCAGTCTGGGCAACAGAGCAAGACTGTGTTTAAAAAAAAACAAAAACAAAGCTGGCTAAGAGGAACTTGCCTGAGAATGGCAAATATCCACAGCTGTGTCTCATTATCAACTAGAGTAAAATATTACTTAACAGGTAGATAGCATATGGACCAATAGAAATTTTTGCTTCTTCAGGAGTGAGGAAACTCTGTGGCTCAATACAATTGTTTATAATCATGAAATGCCTAATGAATCATCATAAATGTAAACAGAATTTGGGGAAATGAGAATACACCGTTTAAAACCAGAGGTTCTGCCACCTGGGAAGACTACCAGCAAGCAGAGACTAAACTACCAGTCCTCTTCTCCATTCAAAATTTCTTTTATTCATTAATAAACCATGATATATATGTATACACAGCTTCATAATCATACCAAAAAAGTTTAAGTGAACTATCCTTTAAAGGCTGAGACCATAACTTTTTGAACAGAAATAATATTGATTATGAGACAGTATATTGATTTTTGCTGTCTTTATTTTAATATGAAGAACAAATTGTGTGGTAAGACTGTAATTTATTTTCCCACTTTGAAATTAAACCTCTCTAGAAACATTTAGATAAATTATAAACTAATCTTTAAAATACCGTATTACTTCAACATTTCAAAATCAGTAAGTTTGGAAACTGTATTTAAGTTAATATTAGGAATAACATAACCACTGTTGATAACTAACAATATAGCCAAACAATGTGATACCTCAAAACTTGACCCAGATAGTACAAAATATTTATAATCTTGGCTGATTCCCAGATTTACAAGCTTCCGGTTTATAAAGATGCTCATCATTTAGTTAACTCATTTAAATCATATATATATGATTTAAATTATATATATATATATACTTTAAAATATTAGTGTAAGTAATATGTCTACAGGAGAATTGTAGGATACTTAGGAAATTATTTAATTTAGACTTCTCATTAAAGAAATACAGAAGTTTTGTGGTCTAAAAAGCCATCATTTGTATTTTTTTCTGAGAGGATTTTGTATTTTTTTTTACTTTCACTTCTGTATTTTCAATTTTTTAGGTACATAGTAGGTGTGTATACTTACGGGTTACATGCAATATTTTGATACAAGCATGCAATGCATAATAATCACATCAAGGTAAATGGGGTATCTATCACCTCACGCATTTATTTATCCTTTGTATTAAACAATCCAAGTATACTCTTTTAGTTATTTTAAAATGTACAATTATTTTTTACGTTAGTCACCCTGTTGTCCTAGCAAATACTCAGTCTTATTCATTATTTCTAACTATTTTTTTGTACCCATTAACCATTCCCCTCTTCCCCTCATTCCCCCACTGTGCTTCCTAGCCTCTGATAACCATCATTCTACTCTCTATGTCCATGAGATATCTCCATATTTTCATTTTTCACTCCCACAAATAAGTGAGAACATGGAAAGTTTGTCTTTCTGTGCCTGGCTTATTTCACTTAATATAATGATCTCCAGTTCTATCCATGTTGTTGCAAATGACAGGATCTCATTCTTTTTTATGGCTGGATAGTACTCCAGTGTGTGTATGTACCACATTTTCTTTATCCATTCACCTTTTGATGGACATTTAGGTTGCTTCCAAATCTTGGCTATTGTGAATAGTGCTGCAGTAAACATGGGAGTGCAGGTATCTCTTCAATACACTGATTTTCTTTCTTTTGGGTATATACTCCACAGTGGAATTGCTGGATCATACGGTAGCTCTAGTTTTGGTTTTTTTGAGGAACCTCCAAACTGTTCTCCATAATAGTTGTGTTAATTTACACTGCTACTAACAGTGTATGAGGGTTCCTTTTTCTCCACATCCTCACCAGTATTTGTTATTGACTGAATTTTGGATAGGTCATTTTTACTGGAGTGAGGTAATTTCTCATTGTAGTTTTGATTTACATTTCTCTGATTATTAATGATGTTGAGCATCTTTGCATATGCCATTTGTGTGTCTTCTTTTGAGAAATATCTATTCAGATCTCTTGCCCATTTTAATTGGATAATTAGATTTTTTTCCTGTAGTGTTGTTTGAACTCCTTATGTAATATATTCTCGTTATTAGCCCCTTGTCAAATGGGTAGTTAGCACATATTTTCTTCAATTTTATGGGTTGTCTGTTCACCTTATTGGTTGTTTCTTTTGCTGTGCAGAAGCTTTTTAACTTGCTATGATCCCATTTGTCCATTTTTGCTTTGGTTGCCTATGCTTGTGGGGTATTACTCAAGAAATCTTTGCCCAGTCCAATGTCCTGGAGCATTTCCCCTATGTTTTACTTTAATAGTTTAACAGTTTGAAGTCTTAGATTGAAGTCTTTAATCTACTTTGGTTTGATTTTTGTATATGTTGAGAGATAGGAGTCTAGTTTCCTTCTTTTACATATGAATATCCAGTTTTCCCAGCACCATTTACTAAAGAGACTGTCCTTTCCACCATATGTGTTCTTGGCACCTTTGTCGAAAATGAGTCCACTGTAGATGTGTAGGTTTATCCCTGCATGTTGTATTTTTATTTATCATTGTGGTAAAACCAAAATCTCAAATTACAGAGCCAATTAATTTATCTGATGATTCACCTTGGTTTAGAATAGGCCCATGAAGCCTATCCTCTTAGTGGAAATGCTCCTTCTCTTGGCAATATCATTCCTCTGTCACCTGCAGTACATTTATATTGATCCTTAGAAACAAAAAGCTCCTGCAACCATATAGCTTCGGCAACAACTCTCCTGTTATCTCTCAATTTCTAATTCATATCAGAAAAATAATCTCATACTCAAAAAACAAAAATAAATTACGAAGTTCTTGAGCAACCTGGAAATTACACAGCAGACATTTTCAGAAGGGAAAAATACATTCACGCAGCATCTTTGAGTTCCTGGGAGTTCATCTTCAGGAGTTAGCAGTTCCTCTTTATTGAGGAATAGCCCCTTTTTCAGGTAATGGCAGTTTTCTGATTCTTGTTTGCTAGCAGGACAGGAGAACTTACTCCAACAGGGCTCAACTCATAAAGAAAGCTCCAGCGTCTTGCATCCGTTAAAATCCTACCCTGACCAACTCTCAAAGCAGAGCTTATTCTAGGTAGATGGAACATGGGTTCTCTAAGTCAACAGCATCTGTACCATCTTATGGACCTATACCAAATAACAGCTGGTCAGTGCTACAGATAGCAAGCAGTAAGGACAACAAAAACATTTATAACTTGCTGACTTTTAAGGAGCTTTGGGCTTTGGAAATTTTTGCCAAGGATGTTGTTTTGGTAGCACTATTAAGAGGAAGTCGTGCAGGCTCTTAAGAAGGAACTAAATATAAGTGATAAGCTAATCTGTCTCCTGTTTTGCTGGCTTACATTTAGGGGTCAGTTTGGAGCCATAATCCTCAGCTTTTGGCTTCCCTTTTGATTGAATCACTGGTGATTGATGTTATATATTAATACAGGTGAGAAAAAACCTCCAAACTCTAGAAAACTAGGAAAGAGTTTTATTTTTTATTACTTTATACATGTGAGAGGAGAGTGTTAATGATTTTTTTTCTGATTTGAAAAAATCTTTCCAATATTTATAAAATTTAGGAATTCAGAAATATCAATGTGAATATTACAAGAGTGACACAAAGCAAGACAATTGATAAAAAGTACAGACTTAATAGTAGGTAAGGGTTGTTTTCACAAGGCATAGCAATAATTTCTAAAGTCCAGGTATCTTATAAGATTTCATTATTATAATAAGACAAAATCATTCTTATAAAAGATTTTCTGATTTGTAATGATCTCTTCTTTGCAGCTGCAAGGGAAAGAGGGAACATTTTATTTTAATGAGGCTAAGATTTCATACATAAAGAGTTAGGCAGTCCCATAGCTGAAATTCTATTAGCACTAATACAAAAAAAAAAAAAAAAAGAAATCTCAAGAAACTCATAATATGGGAAGGATAAGAGAAAATGAACTATCAAGCATTTAATATTTATATCTACAGTTAGAAACATTTAAAAATGTTTTCAGTACCATTTTTCCTTCATAAGTGGGATATATTTTCTTTCATTTTTGTTCTGTTTTGCTTCCAAGATTTGGAAGCAACCTAAATGTCCATCAAAAGGTGAATGGATAAAGAAAATGTGGTACATATACATTTGTGTCCAGAAACTTCCAAGTAATTTTTAACTTAAGGTGATTATTAGTTATGGGTTAGTGCAAAAGTAATTGTGGTTTTGGGCAAGCTGAGCTTTTTCAGCCTTAGGCCATGTTCTAGGTCATCTATTAAGATTTAATTCTGGGCTTAGGAGGAAGCTTCTCTGTTCCTTCCTCTATAGACCCTGATTTTGATGACGAGAAACAATTCTTGAGTGACTCAAGTTGGTAAGTCTTTGATTATAAAGGAATACCCAGAGAAATTCCAAATACCAGAAATGCTGCTGCTGCTGCTGCCTGACTCATTACAAAGGGTTAGTATTACTCCCCAACATGTACAAGGCACAGGTTGTCTCTAAATATGAGTCTCTCTACATGTACTTTTTCTGTTTCTCTTCCTTTTAATCTTTAGAAACAATTTTGTTTTATTTATGATTTACTTATTGTTTTTCACTCTTAAGGACTGGATTCGTCAGAAAACACGGGCTCATGAATAAATGAGCTCACGGGAGACACAGCTTTTGCTCCCAACTTCCTGTCCATTTCTGTTCTGTTTCAGAAGTCAGAGTGTAGAATACAGTCATCCTTCACGCCATATCTTCCAAGTTGTAGTTAGCGGAAATTCCTCCCAGACTAAAAAATATTATCATTTAAAGATATTTTTGAATGCTCTCAAATGTATTTTCATAGGGAATTAAGGGGATGGGAATGTGATAAACAATCTCCTTCCCTTCCCTCCTTAACTCTGTCAGAGCCTTATGCTTTAGTTAAATAACTTTTTTTCTGTGTAGAGAAGTTGGATTTTTCAGGCAAGATTCCAAAGATTAGGAAACTTCCTACCTTTGGGATCGGTAGGTGTTGGTTGTAATTATTCTCTAAGGAGTGGTCATTCCTGCTTTTCTGTGTTGTTTTCCAGGCTGGAATCTTGCAACCTAACTGTATTTTGTTGTCTAAATATATCTAATGCTCTCATCAGAAGCCAGAGCCTGATATTTCTGAATCTGTCAACCAATAATCTGTTGGATGATGGAGTGCAGCTTTTGTGTGAGGCCTTAAGACATCCAAAGTGTTATCTAGAGAGACTGTCGTGAGTGTTTCTGTTTTGTTTTCTGTAGAGTCATTTTGCTTGGTTCTGTGTAGCTTAATTGTGATCTGATAGGGAAACTTCTTGGGTCTTGGCACTAACTGGCTCGTTTGTCAATTCTGAATAAGCTCTACATGCATCCCCCTTCTCTTCCTCTACTTCCCTCTCTTTTACTTCACTTTTAGACCTATCATTTTTTTCTGATTGACCTCTTTATTTTCATTCTTTTCCAAGCTTCCCCTCTCCCCTTCCGTGTTTTGTTTCATCATATCCTGCATACAGCTGCAATGGAATTCGTAATTTAAATAGGTTTGTTGAGGTTAATTTTATAGTTGAGGTATGGGGGTTATAAGTGCCACTGATTTCCCTGTGAAGGAGAAGAGAAGCATGGGCTTTGGGAATTGACAGATCTCTTCTCATCTCTTTCTCTTTCAGCTTAGAAAGCTGTGGTCTCACAGAGGCTGGCTGTGAGTATCTTTCTTTGGCTCTCATCAGCAATAAAAGACTGACACATTTGTGCTTGGCAGACAATGTCTTGGGTGATGGTGGAGTAAAGCTTATGAGTGATGCCCTGCAACATGCACAATGTACTCTGAAGAGCCTTGTGTAAGTGTCTTCAAGTTTTTATCCTTAATATATATTGTACATTTTGAAATATGTTTAAAATAGTAAAATATTATGAACACATTCTGTCCCTTGCTTTTTCCCTGTTACCCTTAATGAAGAAGGTGAAAGTGATATTAATAATTGCCATTTATTGTGTCCTAACTCTACTCTGGATCTTGTTTTAAACATGCTTAATCTGCAAAATAGTACCCGATGGTGTCAAATTGACCACCCAATTTTGAGGGGCCTCACTCTACAGGTGAGGAATGTGAGCCTTAGGGAGATAATGCACCTTGCTTAATATCTCACAAGAAAATGATGAATTTAGAACTAAAGCCTACCACCTATCCTAGTCTATGATCTGAGCTCAGAACAGAAATATAGCACTCTGTTGTATGTCTGAATCACATTGTGATTATTCTGCTCATTTTTGTTAGATAATTTTCTAAACATTGAATTAATAAGCCAAGGTTTTAATTTGGCCAAATATGGTTAAATTGCCTTCCAGATAGATTATTTATATTCCCAGCAGCAGTCTAGGGACCTGCACTTTAACACCCTCATTGGACATCTACAATCTTTTTGATCTGTATTAATTAAATAGTTGAAAAGTAACTTTTAAAGTAATTTAAATCTTGAGCATCTTTTCAAATGTTTTTGGCCTTTTATATTTAGGAATTTCCTCTTCATGGGCTGTTTTTTTCTGATGTTTTCTATTATATATATCTTATAGTTATTAATATCACATATATTATTATTTTTTATATATTACAAATAATTTTCTTAGCATGTTGCTTTATTTCTAACTTTCTTTATGGTCATTTTTAGAACAGATAAGTTTAAAATTTTTTGTGATGTCAAATTCTGCCTCATGACCTCAAGGAGTTTGGAAGTACCTTTCTTTTAAAAAAAATACACATATGTCATCTCATACTCTTCATGGTTTAATTTTAACGTTTACATGTTAAATTATTCCAAATTTATTTTGTTATAAGGCTTAAACTTATTTTCCCCCATATATCAGATCTATTGTACAAAAGCAATAATGGCATAATATGGATTTTCCTTACTGTTTGAAAATGCCGCTTCTATTACATACAAAGAGTACTTACTTTATTAAGATTACTCTTATTCTACTCCATCTGCCTGTTCTTCTAGTCCATGGAGCTACTTCTACAACAGAGTACTATGTATATGTGTAATGTAATGAGGTTAGCATTTAATTTATTGTAAGAAAAATGCTGAAGAATATGAGTCTAGTTTGTAGCCCAATTTGATGTATATCTGTTTCCCAAGTGAGACAGGCTGGCAGTGAGGGTGTTTCATCTGAGATGGAATGTTGGCAAATAGATAAGGGATCAAATCATGAAATCTCTTCAGAGAAAGAAATCTCTGGACAGTAGAGCAATGATTCCATCTTTCTTCACATTGTCCTTCCTGTAGGCTGAGGCGTTGCCATTTCACTTCACTTAGCAGTGAATATCTGTCAACTTCTCTTCTACACAACAAGAGCCTGACGCATCTGGATCTAGGATCAAACTGGCTACAAGACAATGGAGTGAAGCTTCTGTGTGATGTCTTTCGGCATCCAAGCTGTAATCTTCAGGACTTGGAGTAGGTTTTCTGTTGCTTTACTTTTGTGTAGTTTCAACAACAGAGTGTCTGGGGAGATACTGAAAGAAAGGCTGAGAACCGAGCATCTATCAGAGAAAAGAATATAAAGCTGATTTTCCCTCTCTCTTCTGCCTGAGACAAGCTGGGGAAGTCTGCTCATCAGATTTCTAAAAATAATTACCATAGTAATTCTAATAAACTTTCCTCAGGTAATGAGGACCAGAGGCATCAGGCTGAACAGTGGCCATTTTATTCTTTCCTTGGTTGTGCCCCAGTGAATCTACTGTGTGTCCTCTACTTTTAATCCAGAAGCTAAAATTGTTCTCTACTAGTTTTTCTCTTAGATTTATATTTAAACTCAGGTTTATAATTAGGTCAACTTTCAAAGAAATTGGGAAGGAGATTTTTACAGTATCCTACAATCTATTGCTGAACAGTAGCCATTTTATTCTTTCCTTGGTTGTGTCCTAGTGAATCTACTGTGTGTCCTCTACTTTTATCCATGAAGCTGAAATTGTGCTCTACTAGTTTTTCTTTTAGATTTATATTTAAACTCAGGTTATAATTAAGTCAACTTTCAAATAAATGGAAAGGGGATTTTTAACAATATCCTACACATTTTTAAACTCCAACCATTTTCATTAATATTATGTTTTCTCACTCTATGAGCAGATTTGCATACATATCCATTGCATGTGCATACATAATTGTGATTGCTTTATGGACATGATTTGGGGTTTCCTTTTCACTTGATAGTATTTCAGAAATACATTTATCGAGGTGTGCATGCTGAGAATAAAAAAAGAAATACATTGAAATACTTATTTCAAATTATCTTCTTGATTATTTTAATGACTGTATGGTATTTAGTATTTCATTGCATAAATACTTTGGCCAGCATGAATCAAAACAGAGGCGTCACTTAGCAACCTCAGCTCACTTTCCTACCAGGGCCTCCCAAGTGACCAGCAACTTTTGTGAGTCATTAATGGTCTAACCCCAACATAGTTTTTTAGAGCTATAAAGTCAAGCTCTTTGGTTGACCCAGAAGTATTTGTCTTGACCAGACTGACTCATGATAACTAAACTTCCAAATGAGTTTAATAATTTAATGTGACACCTATAAACACAAGGCAATTACACTGTAGGGTTCAATAAATACATTTACTTACTTTAGGAAAATGTAGATGACATGGGTTACTATGTGATTCTCTGGAATTTCATTGATCATTATTCAACTGGAAGACAAAGTTTTACTTAATGGATGTTGTTAAATCCAATGTCTTCATTTAACTACAGACGTATAATTTCTAAGTGACCTATATACCCAAGGTCTTTGCTAGCCCACTTTCTGTCCTTAGCATTGCTGTAAACAAAGCTGTACTTTCTTAATTACCTTCCAAAGCCTCTATGCAGACCATGTCAATTCTCTTAACCAATATTTTCAACCAATATGAACTAGATGCTGAGGGAACTAAAAGTCATTAAGGTGATGCTTTTGTCCCCAAATAACATAAAATGCTGATAACAGGGAAATAAATATAAAGCAAATTACAATATATTCCATACGTTGTTATAAGGATATGACAACAGTCTCAGGGATTGAGGCTGGGACTTCTCAGTGGAGACAGAGTTACTTTAGGCTAGAGAAATGATGAAGATTCTGTTATGTGGGGATATGCTAAACAGAAGGAAAGGAGAGAGAATAGAAGAGACGCAACAACAAATATGGTTTAGTTGGAGAAAAATGCATGTGTATGGTTAGAGAATAATGTGGGGACAAAATATGGAAAGAGAAAGCTTGAGGCCAGATTGTGAGTGCTCTTGAATGCCATGCAAAGGACCTGGAATAAATATCTTTTTATATGTAGCTTTCTTCTTTGAAGATAATACTTTGAGATAGATTCCAGGAAACTTTTTTCACTTAAAGATATATTAAAAACTGAAAGCACAGAGATCTATTAGTTCCTTGGGAAAGTTTATATTCATTTTTTTAAGTATTGGTAAAAATAAATGTTTATACCCTTGATTTTTAAAGCTCTGTAGATAACCTGTTTGTGGAAGAAAACAGTTTTACCTGCTGGTTTATTCTGCTCATTAAGAAATCCCATCATTTTTACTGATAAATTAGACCCTCCCATGTATGTCCTGGATTGTAGATAGAAAAGAGTGAGAAAAGAGGTTCAAATACCTGGGTATATCTCCTAGGAAGAAACTTATTTAACCTCACAATGGAAGGATTCACTTTTCCTATTGTAATTCTTACAGATTGATGGGCTGTGTTCTCACTAATGCATGTTGTCTGGATCTGGCTTCTGTTATTTTGAATAACCCAAACCTGAGGAGCCTGGACCTTGGGAACAACGATTTGCAGGATGATGGAGTGAAAATTCTGTGTGATGCTTTGAGATATCCAAACTGTAACATTCAGAGGCTCGGGTGAGTTCATAGTTTTCCATTAGGAAAATGATGCCTATTTGGTAGCTAGTATAGCTAGAAGATATTTAGTGTATGGAGAGAGGATAAAAACTAAATGGGGCTAGAAGGTAAGTTACTCTCAGAAATAAGAATCTAAATTTCAAATAAATGGATCAATGTACTGCATGTTCTTTAGTATAGAAGCCATATTTCACATTTCTTTGTGTCCCCTTTAGTACCTTGGACAGATACTTAGTACGCAAATGGTACCTGGTTTGGGTCTTCATGTTCTGTCATCCTTCAGATAGTCTACTTGTCTTTGAATTAATTTTTTTATTAAATTGAAGACTTTTACTAATTATCTTCTATCTGTAAAATACTATGTTCTTAAGGAGCTTGTAATAAAATCACATTCTGTGTTGTGGACATTTCTTACGTTCAATTCTGTGTTTAGATTTTTATTTAATTTTGAACTGATATTGGCTAGTACATTTTCACTTATACAACATGAATTATTGACCTCAGGGTCAAGAATTGTGCTCTATGTGTGGGAAGCTCAGACATAATGACATGTGTCATCCTTTAGAAATTTAACAGTCTTCCAGAGAAATCTCCCCTGACTCTTCCAAGAAAATGAAGCTGTTATATTTCCATTGACTATATATTTTTATAATAGCAATGATGATGATGTAACTGTTAGGTCTGAGATTTAATTTTATCCTACTTACAACCTAATAAATTCACCGGTTACTGTTTCATGGATGCTGGACAAAAAACAAAACCAAACCCACAAGACTCTTAGGAGAGACAAAGGACTTTATTGCTTGTAGCAGAGCAAGAGCATGAGTATTAGCATGTTTGCGTCAGTTCCTTTTGTCCCCCGAGTCTCACAGGGCTGATGAAGAGGGTCCAGATGGATGCCTGCACATGCAACATTGAGACTGAGAGACCTAGGATTTTACAGGAGGCAGTAATAAGCCTGCTGTTTGTCCCTCAAGGTTGCTCATTACAAACACAATCCTGGAAAATGGCCCAGGTAAAGCGCTGTCAGGGCCTTGCATTTTTGTTAGCAAACATGTAGCAGAGAGAAAGACCTATGGAAGAATATCTCCCCAAAATATCTACCCCTTGTTTCTACACAGTAAAATCTTGGCTTCTGGTGAATTTTCACATAAATATGCTACTCCATTGGCCACTCTGATTAACAGAGACTGGGACCAAATCTGTTCAGTTAATCTCATCTACCATTTAATTAAGGCCACTAATAACAAAACTCCAAGCATGTGATGAGCCCAACTTGTAGTATTGATTTCAAACATTCCCACAGGGGTCTGACTCAGTCAACTGAGTAAGTCCCAGGAAGGACTACTAGGTCTTTTATGCTTTAGAACCCATACAAGGGAGTCTAAAATGAGCTGCCATTCTTTGGTGTCACTGGCAATAAATAAACAAAGATGGGCCAAAAGCAGCCCTCCTCCCCAGTAAAGAGACAGTTAGCAGTCCACTCTTCCCCACATGCAAACATGTAACTGAAAGGGGTAGAGGTCACTCTAATTTTGGATTTGCTGTTATATTTTATTTGGTTAGCCATTGCACTAGTTTGGTTAAGCCAGGTAAGCAGTCTCACTGGTAGTTGTAGCTTCCTCATTCTCATACGTGGTATAGTCCAAGGCTGTTCTAGCATCAAGAGAAGCTTGCAGATTTGTATCGAATTGAAACAAGGTTGTGCTAGTGATTGTGTTTGTATACATATGATAAGATTCCACATTAGGAGGTTGCTATTGATGGCATCAGGCACAGCAAAGTAGTTCAGGACCTGCTATGTCTACATGAGATTTTCTATTTTCATAGTATATAGACAGGCATGACAAACCAGGCCGAGGGTCAGTCTGTCAGCTGCAGTTGCTGCTTAGACTCCACAGACCACATAATTATTTTGCCAGGCCAAGGTGTTGGATCTAGGAGAAAAAAGAGAGAGTGAATTGTTCTCCTCACTCTCCACACCTCCAGGTTCTAAAGTGTTCCATTCCAAATATTGTTGCTGCTCTTCCCCTACACCAATGAAATCAGTTTGTGCCATCCCAGTGGCTAGAACTTCACCTATTCTCCAATTATCCTTTACTTGCATGGAGACCTTTGGTCTGGAGGAATCATACAAATGGGAGAGAGAGAAAAGCATCTTTACAATATTTACAGAAACCCATTATATCTTATACATTATATACCAATTCTATATTATCTGAATATCAAAGGCAAATTAGGAAGCTTTGGAGCCTCTAATCTACCTTTTAAAAATATATGTAGCTGTAAAGTTCAATTTTATAATTTTCCTATATACTCTTTTTTTTTCCAGCAAAAAGTATTGAAATTTTTATCCCCTCTGCTTGGTAGGGACATCTTTGTTATAAACCACATTTTCATTGGTGCGTGGATCTGTTCCTGGGTTCTGTTTTCCTTTCCACTGACCTGTTTGTAATTCCCAGTTCTAACAATGCTGTCTTAATTAATATAGCTCTATGATAAGCCCTGATACGCACTACAGCAATTCTTCCCATCTTCTTAAAGAGAATTTTGGCTCTCCTTCCCCTTTACATTTGCAAATAAATTGGAAATATCAACTTATCAAGTTACATACATATGTACTGCCCCCCAACCTACCTATATGTTGGCGTATTGAATCGAATTGCATTAAATCTATCAGTGAGTCTCCTGATACACCAAAAAGACATATCTCATTTATTTAGGTCTATCAATAAAGCTTAGTAATTTTTTCTTGAGTGGTCTTGTATTTTGTTACTGGTTAACTTTATTCCAAAGTGCTTACTATATTTCATGCTGTTGTAAATGATTGTTTTAGTTATTTTTTCATTGTGTTTATACATAGAAACATAGGAGTTTTTAAAGTTGGTTTCTTATCCAATAGCCTGCCACATTCTCTTGCTTATTCTAGTTGCTAATTTGTAGATACTTTTGTATTTTTTAGGTATACAATCACATCATTTGGGAATAATACAATGTAGTTGTTTTTTCCTTTTCTGTTCTTATATTCTTTTTTCATTTTTTATATGCCTTAGTAACTGTTAATATATGTGATATAATGTTAATATGTCTGGGGATAATGAACTTTCATATGTTGTTCACAATGTTTGAAGCACAACTTCAGTGGTTCACCAATTTATCAATTTAAGGAAATTGCCTTCTACACCTAGTTTTCTAGGAGTATTCTTTTTCTTTTTTTTAATTATACTTTAAGTTCTGGGATACATGTGCAGAATGTGCAGGTTTGTTACATAGGTATACACGTGCCACGGTGGTTTGCTGCACCCATCAACCCATCATCTATATTAAGTTTTTCTCCTAATGCTATCCCTCTGCTAGCCCCCATCCCCCAACAGGCCCTGGTATGTGATGTTCCCCTCTGTGTGTCCATGTGTTCTCATTGTTCAACTCCCACTTACAAGTGAGAATATGGGATGTTGGATTTTCTGTTCTTGTGTTAGTTTGCTGAGAATGATGGTTTCCAGCTTCATCCATGTCCCTGCAAAGGACATGAACTCATCCTTTTTTATGGCTGCATAGTATTCCATGGTGTATATGTGCCACATTTTCTTTATCCAGTCTATCATTGATTGGCATTTGGGTTGGTTCTAAGCTTTTGATATTGCAAATGGTGCTGCAATAAACATACATGTGCATGTGTCTTTATAGTAGAATGATTTCTTATCCTTTGGGTGTATACCCAGTAATGTGATTGCTGGATCAAATGTTATTTCTGATTCTAGATCCTTGAGGTATCGCCACACTGTCTTCCACAATGGTTGAACAAATTTACACTCTCACCAACAGTGTAAAAGTGTTCCTGTTTCTCCACATCCTCTCCAGCATCTGTTGTTTCTTGACTTTTTAATGATCACCATTCTAACTGGCATGAGATGGTATCTCACTGTGGTTTTGATTTGCATTTCTCTAATGGCCAGTGATGATGAGCTTTTTTTCATATGTTTGTTGGCCACATAAATGTCTTCTTTTGAGAAGTGTCTGTTCATATCCTTTGCCCACTTTTTGATGGGGTTGTTTTTTTCTTGTCAATTTGTTTAAATTCAGATTCTGAATATTTGTCAGATGGATAGATTGCAAACTTTCTCCCATTATGCAGGTTGCCTGTTCACTCTGATGACAGTTTCTTTTGCTGTACAGAAGCTCTTTAGTTTAATTAGATCCCATTTGTCAATTTTGGGTTTTGTTGCCATTGCTTTTGGTGTTTTAGTCATGAAGTCTTTGTCCATGCGTATGTCCTGAATGGTATTGCCTAGGTTTTCTTGCAGGGTTTTGATGGTTTTAGGTCTTATGTTTAAGTCTTTAATCCATCTTGAATTAATTTTGTGTAAGGAAGGTATAATGCGTAAGGAAGGGGTCCAGTTTCAGTTTTCTGCATATGGCTAGCCAGTTTTCCCAACACCATTTATTAAATAGGGAATCCTTTCCCTATTGCTTGTTACTGTCAGGTTTGTCAAAGGTCAAGTGGTTGTAGGTGTGTGGTGATATTTCTGAGGCTTTTGCTCTGTTCCATTGGTCTATATATCTGTTTTGGTACCAGTACCATGCTGTTTTGGTTACTGTAGTCTTGTAGTACAGTTTGAAGTCAGGTAGCATGATGGCTCCAGCTTTGTTCTTTTTGCTTAAGATTGTCTTGACTATACGGGCTCTTTTTTGGTTCCACATGAAATTTAAAGTAGTTTTTTCTAATTCTGTAAAGAAAGTCAATAGTAGCTTGATGGGGATAGCATTGAACCTATAAATTACTTTGAGCAGTATGGCCATTTTCATGATACTGATTCTTCCTATCCATGAGCATGGAATATTTTTCCATTTGTTTGTGTCCTCTGTTATTTCCTTGAGCAGTGGTTTGTAGTTCTCCTTGAAGAGGTCCTTCACATTCCTTGTAAGTTGTATTCCTAGGTATTTTATTCTCTTTGTAGCAATTGTGAATGGGAGTTCACTCATGATTTGGCTCTTTGTCTGTTATTGGTGTATATGAATGCTTGTGATTTTTGCACATTGATTTTGTATCCTGAGACTTTGCTGAAGTTGCTTATCCTTGAAGAATTTTGCCAAATGTGATGAATCACATCGATATAATATGCATTATATCAACCTTGCATTTTTTGGAGTAAAACCAACTTGGACATATCTCCTGTGTACATTGTGTAATTTACTTTGTTAATGTTAATATTAGTGACAGCATTTAACCATTTTGTTCATAATGGAGATAGGTTATAATTTCTTTTGCAGTCTTCATCAAGTTTTTGTGTCAGAATTACAGTATTTTGATGAGTTCAGGAGTGTTTCTTATCTTTTAGTTTCCTGAGAAGATTTTTGTAAGATTGGAATTATTTCTTCTTTGAACTTTGTAACAATTTCTGGTGAAGCTGTCTAACCTGGAGTTTCTTTGTATGTAGGATTTTTGACTTCTGATTCAATTTTTTAAATAATTATTTAGGTTTTCTCTTTCTCATAGGGTACTTTTTAGTAAGTATATATTGTTGATTTTATCTATTTCATCTAAATTTTAAAACTTATTGGCAAGCATCTAGTATTTTATTATTTGCTTAACTTCTTAATCATCTATAGTGATGTGTTTTTTCTCATTTCTGATATTGAATTTGACCATTTCTTTATTTTTTATTCAAAGAACACAACATTGATCCACTCTGTTGTACATCTACATTCTATTTCATTAATTTCTGTTTTTATCTTATTTTTCTTCTTGTACTTTTGTTGGGTTTATTTTACCATTTACTAAATTCTTGAGTTGTATGCTTAGACATACATATTCCCTTTCTTCTTCTCCAACAAAGATATTTAAGGTTACAACTTCCCTTCAAATGACTGCGTTAACTTAATCATAAAATTTTGATGTTGTATGCAGTGTTTTTGTTATTTTTGAGTCCACAATATTTGTAAACTTCCCTAGAACTTTTTTCTTCAACTAATAGGTTATTTGTAAACATACTCCTTAATTTTCAAGCATGAGGCTTTTCTTTTTATATTCAGTCTGTAGAATTGTTGTCTGAGAACATACTGTGCATGAGTACAGTTCTTTGAAGTTTGTTGTCATTTGCTACATGACTTTTTAAACATACTTAAGAACACAAAAAATTGTTATTTCTAATTTAATTTATATTTTTTCTAAGTACGGGGTCTTTTTCTTTCACCCAGGCTGGAGTGCAGTGATGTGATCATAGCTCACTGTAGACTTCAATCACCTAGGCAACCAAGCCTCCCAGCCTCACGAGTAGCTAGGACTACAGGTGTGCACTACCATGTCTGGCTATTTTTTTCTTCTTTTCTGGTAGAGATGAGGTCTTGTTCTGTTACCCAAGCTGGTCTTGAATTCCTGGCCTCAAGCTACTCTGTTCTCTTAGCCTCCCAAAGTGCTGGTATTACAGGTGCCAGCTACTGTGCCTGGGCAGTGGCAGTATTCTGTATCAGTTAATTAAGATTATTAGTTCTGTTTATCTAAATTTTAGTGATTTTTTTCCAGATAACTCAGTTACTGTGAAAAATGTTAAAATTTTCATTAAAATTCTAGATTTGAGTCTTTGCAGTTCTGTTCGTTTCTGTCTTCTATATTTTGAGACTATAATTTGTGACTGAAAATATAAAATGATTATATTTCCTGATGAATTCATGATAACACTTTGTTTTACGATGCTTTTTCCCCTAAGGAAGATTTTGTGTGATATTTACATACCCTGTCTCATAATTAGTGGGACTATCTCTTCATCACATAAATGTGATCACTTAACAAAAAAAAAGTTTTGTATGCTCAGCATCTATATAGGTACTCAGTTGTTCAATGGCCAGGTAAACATAAGGTGAAAATTAGATTCAAATTGTTTAGGAGAATGTTAGATGCAGAAGGCTGAGTTTGACATACTTCCTCAGTTCACGTATATACTATTATCGGCTTGTGCAGAGGCCCTTGGCTGACAGATGGGTGGGTTGGCTAATTTATCTCCATTAGCCATTCTCTTTCCCACCTATAGGCAGCTGACCTAATGTATTCGAAATAGGCCATGTAATTGCATTTTTATTTGCATCAATGGCATGATGCTAGAGACCTTATTATATTTCTTGCTTATTTTATTTTATTTTTTTTGAGACGGAGTCTTGCTCTATAGCTCAGGCTGGAATGCAGTGGTGCGATCTCAGCTCACTGCAACCTCTGCCTCCTGGGTTCAAGCAATTCTCCTCCCTCAGCCTCCCAAGCAGCTGGGATTACAGGCGCTTACCACTACCCCCAGCTAATTTTTGTATCTTTAGTAGAGACAAGGTTTCACCATGTTGGCCTGGTTGGTCTCGAACTCCTAACCTCAGATGATCTGCCCACCTCAGCCTCCCAAAGTTCTGGGATTACAGGCATGAGCCACCATGCCTGGCCTATTCCTTGCTTTTTAAACACTCACTACCAAGCTTCCAATATCTAGTTATAGTGATGTATTTTTAGTGATGTTCAAGGATTCAACTGCTTCATAGTATTTTGTAACGTGCTTGCATATTTTATTTATTCCTTAATAATTACGAATTTGTAATTCATGATTTTGGAAGGGATAAGTTCAGCCTAGAAATATCTGGTAATAATGAATATTATAGGTACTTATAGTCCTTGAATTTATACTAACTGTGCTCATTTTTTAAAGTTTCTGGAATTATCCTCCATTCTGAGTTCACAGATCTCTTGTGGGCTTTGTTGTGTCATCGAATAAATTCATTTTTATCTTTTGTCTCTCTTCTCTACAGGTTGGAATACTGTGGTTTGACATCTCTCTGCTGTCAAGATCTCTCCTCTGCTCTTATCTGCAACAAAAGACTGATAAAAATGAATCTGACACAGAATACCTTAGGATATGAAGGAATTGTGAAGTTATATAAAGTCTTGAAGTCTCCTAAGTGTAAACTACAAGTTCTAGGGTAAGTCTCCATTGGCTTCTCAGGGGGAGCATTTCCTATAATGAGGGATTTGGGGAGCCACTCATTAATACAGGCCTCAGAATCCACCTAATTGTGTATCATTGGGTATTTTCTAGACACTTATTTGTTTTTCTGTCATAGAACACTGAATATTGAGAGATACAATATAGCATAGTGGTTAAATATTGAGCACCCTGGAACCAGCCTAGATGAGCTTGAATTCTGACCCTACCACTTACTAAATGTTTAATTAAGGCTAGTCCCCCATCACTCTTTGTTTTGATTTGCTTATGAGTAAAATGGGTGAAATGATAAAATCTACCCATAAGGTTATCATGAGGATCTGAGTCAATATAGGCTAAGTACTTAGAATGGTGCCTTGCATGATAATAAACAATAAATATGTTCTCTGTTTTTATTATTATCAGTAGTAATATTAATTTTGCTTGGATAGCAAAAGGCTCTTGGAGGATCCTTTTTAATTTTAATTGGTTTCTCTTTCTCTTCTGTTAATTTATTCTGTCTTCCTTCCACTACTTTATCTCCCTCACTGTATCTCTCTCAGTTCGCTTCCCCACTCCTCACCCATGTTATAATATTATCTCTCTATTTTAACAGAACAGTTTTTTTTCTCCTGAAATAAATCCTTTACAGAGAAAGTGGAGGGCTGTAGGGAAATTGAATGCAGGAAAAGAGATGTTCCCTTGTTTTCTCAGGTTGTGCAAAGAGGCATTTGATGAGGAAGCCCAGAAGCTGCTGGAAGCTGTGGGAGTTAGCAATCCACACTTAATCATTAAGCCAGATTGTAACTATCATAATGAAGAAGATGTGTCTTGGTGGTGGTGTTTCTGATTTGAAGAAACTGACATTCCTTTAAAAATATAAATATAAATACATACATACATAGATATATACCCAGACTTGGGTGCTTAGCTTCAGATACTCTATGCCCAGAGATAGTGCACTTGGCAGCTGTCAGATACCATTCATCTACTTCTCTGTAAAATGTCTGTTCTACTTCACACAGTGGTCGAGAGGCTAAAATAAAATGAAAAGCATAAAACTCTCTGAAAAGTATGTTTTTAATTGGATACAGAGCTTAAGAATGCAGGTAAGGGAAGCCTGGATATGAGGCTGGAGGATGCAGACAGGGAAGATCAGTTAAAATGCCTTGTTTTTTCCTTACTTCCACTGACATGGCTTAGTTCACAGCCCTGCTATCTCTGGCACGTTTTATTAAAATGTGTCTCCATATGTGTTCTTGGGATCACCAGTGTCAAGATCACTTGGGTATCCGTCTTAAAATGGAGATTCCTGAACCCCACACTAGACTTACCAAATCAGAATGTCTGCTACCAGCTAGCAACCAGCATTTTTGAGAATTTCCCAGGCAAATTCTTAAGTATACTAATAGTTGAGAGTCACTAGTTTCAATAGAAATGGGAGTCTACTTCTACAATGAATACTTTCTATAGCTTATTGTAAAGATAAGGAGGATTAATTTCCTTTAAGGGAATATAAGGTTATTTGGGCTAGAGCTAGAAACAGATTCTTTCATTTGGCAAGAGCGTGACACAATAAATTTTGTGTGTGTGTGTGAAAGACTGTTCTGGTTATTTATTGATCGTGTAACAAACTATCCCAAAACTTGGTGGCTTAAAACAATAATGATTTTATTAAATCTCATAACTTGGATTGGAATTCAGAAAGGGCCCAGCTGAGCATTTCTTATACTCCACATGGTATTACTTGGGGTCCCTTGGTGGTATTCACCTGGCAGCCAGATTGCTCTGGAGGCCCCAGATAACTTGGACACGTCTGCTGCCTTGGCAGGGATGGCTGAAAGGCTGGGATGAGCCAGACCCCTTTTCCTGTTATCAGCCGGAAGTCTAGTGATTCTCAGCAATTTTGATCCTTGCCCCCTCAGAGGAAAGAATTCAACTGAGAGGCAGAAGTAGGTTTAAAGCAGAGGCAAAGTTTATTAAAGAAAGCAAAGTACACTTGGAAGAAATCAAGCAGGCCACCTGAGAGATTCAAGTGTCTCTCTTGATCCTTGGTTTGAGACTTTATACATTGACTCATCTTCCAGGCTCTTCTCCCCTGTTGATCCCTCCCTTGGGCGGGTTGTTGCTTGATTACCTGTGTGCAGTGGCCTGTCACCACTTGTGAGAGGCCCCGTGCACGGTGTGTTTACTGAAGTTGTATGCATGCTCCCTTGGGATGATTTTTTCTTACTGGTTGAGCTCCCCCAGAGGAAGGTCATATACAGGTCAAAGTCCACCATCTTGCTCCCCTTTGCACACAGTTGAAACTTTATCAGGGATTGTGGTTTGCTGACTCCAGGTGTTTTCTATCTGTTGGAGGAGTCCTTTCCTTCCTGGTGGCAGTTGTGGCCACTTATTGTCTCAGAGAGATAGTTTTATGCTCACCTGTCCTTCACCTGATGAGAGCCAGACTTCTCTGGGGGCCCTCCCTTGTCCTGTTCATTATCTCAGAGGAAAAGGTTTACGAGTGCTTGACTATGGCTCAAGAATTGCTTGGCATTCCTGGGGGCCCTCTCTCCTGCCCTGCTCTCATATCTGTCTAACTACCTACTCTAACATTGCTTGTAGTCTTAGGGCCTCTCCATGTGGTTTCTGCAGTGTGGGGATTCAGGATTTGAAAGGGCCAAGAGGAAGCTGCCATTTATCTTAAAAGCTAGGCCCAGAACTGGCATAAAGTCACTTCCATAATCCTCCATTAGTGAAAATAGTACAGGCCAGCTCAGATTCTGGGAGAATCAATTGTTGATGGGAGTAGTGTCAAAGAATTTGTGGCCTTCCTTAGTTCACCACAAACTTAATGTTTTTCTCCTTGTCTGTGGGAGAAAATAAAGCCTTTTAACTTATTGTAAGGCAAAAACCAACACTTTTTCTTTGATAAGACTGTCAATTCCCATGCAGTTCTGGTCACCAAAATGTGTGGGTTTTTACCACACCAAGCAATTTTCCAACACCAGCTGGGTGTCCTATAATTCAATTCTATTCTGATATTATCATCCTGGAGGTAGCATTGTATCCCACAGGTGAGGATCTCAGTCCCACAAGACTCTCCCCTATTTGAAGTACCAATTGCAAGTTCCAGGTTGTGACCTGTTCTTCTGACAAACTGGCCATAAGTCAGGGTTCCCACAACTCTCTTTTCCCTGGGTTCCATAATTTGCTAGGATGGCTCACAGAACTCAGGGAAGTACTTTGCTTATGTTTACCCATTTATTATAAGAGAATATTTCAAATGATACAAATGAACAGCCATATGAAAGAGACACATAGGGTGAGGTTCGGAAGGTTCTATCCCTGTGCATTTGGCTTGTGCTACCTTCTAAGCACATGGATGTGTTTAGCAACCAGGGAGCTCTCTGAATCCCATCTTTTTGTGGAAGCTTCATTAGGTAGGCATGATTGATTAAGTCACTGGCCATTGTCATAAACTCAACCTTCAGCATCCCCTTGCTTCTTTGGAGGTCGGGATGGGGAGTGCTGAAAATTCCAACCCTTTAATCACATGGTTGGTTCTCCTAGCAACCAGCCCCCATCCTGAAACTATCCAGGAGCCTCCAACTACCAGCCATCTCATTAGCATACAAAAACACTTACTGCTTCAAATATTCACAAAGTTTTAGGACCTGTGTGCCTTGAAAGGGGCCAGGAAATCACACTCGTATAATATCCCCTGAGTCAATGTGGAGGACTGGAGAATAGACCTTGGCAGTCAGAGGGGGCAAATGGTTTTCGTGAAAATTTGCAAGTAATGTTACTGGTGCTGATATCCACACAAAACAGTAATACTGCTGCTCACATTTGGCATAGGTGATACATAGAGAGGTGGCTTTACTGAGGTTGATTCCCAGTGAGGACAGTCTTGCTAGTTAGAGGAATCTAACTGGGGCTATTATAACAAACACAGAAAAGAAAGTATACACCAAAGTGGTGACACCTCTTTCACATGATAGCCTTGGGCTGCAGTCATCGTCTCATCCTTCACAGACAACAGGATTTCCAAGCTGCCCAAGGAAAACTCCAACAAAGGTAAATGTTTCTTAAGATAATTTCTACCAGACTGTCAGAAAAAGGAAAATTCTTATATTTCTGAAACCATTTCAGAGCATTATAGAGGAAGACAGCTTTTCTAATTCATTTTTTAAAGATGAAAACTATTGATAATAGAACCTGACAACCAAAATGAGTGATTGAGGCATAAGTCTCAAATCATCAGGATTTATTGAGCCAGCTTGAGAATGCATCTAGGAAAAATAGGGGTCACAGGTGCATCTGTGGCTGTTTTTTCTGTAGCGGATCTGAAGAGGTTTAGTATTTATACATTTTCCTTTAAAAAGGGGACGTGTCAGTGAAATTAATGATTATATAGTTTTCAGACTTTAGTGCCCAGTAAATCTACATTTTATATAAGGTGAACATTTGAAGAAAAAAGGAATAAAGTAAGCAGATGTCTCAGGAGTGAAGGAATAATTAATCTTTGTCTTTTTGGTGCACCTGGGGAAGATAAGCTAGTTGTTGACATTATTGGTGTGGAGCCTTTTGAAAGGGCTGGTTTCTGTTTAGCCTGTAGGGAAGAAAGCCTAAGGGTAGTTAACTAAGGGGAGGGAGTAATGTGGTGTGTCTGACCTCCCGTCTCTCCTGACATGAATGGGAACTCAGCTTCCAAGGTTTTTCCAGGGTTCCGTTGGCCAACTGGGGATCCATTCAGTCAGTTGGGGACTTTGGATTTTATTATTTCTCAAGCCTAATAGCACTATCACGAAATTTAAAGATGAATGTCACTTATGACTATGCAAAGACCTAGTATTAAAATTTTTGAAAATTTCAACATTTAATTAAAATATACTATGATTATTGTGACTTAGAAGTGCAAGAGTGGGCTGATAGGAGGAATATTATAATTTATCACATTAATTGGATGATGCAGAAAAACCAATTATCTCAATTTACATTGAAAAGGCGTTTAATAAAATTCAGTCTCTTTGTGAGGTAGTTTTATAACATGATGAGGAATGTTTATCTTAAACTGATAGCAATACGCTTAGAAGCATTAGCATTTAAATATTAAAAACATGCCTGGTGGTATAACTGAGCCTATATTACAAAAATCATTATGTGTTCATTTTACTTATTATTTGTCTTTGTTCTTTTCTTCCTCCATGCAAGTAAGCATGGAGTATACAGTCATTTTGAGGGAATATAGTCACTAGTAATTGTTTAACTTCATATCCTAAATTCTGGGGCAACCTGCAGAATTAATGAACTCATTTTTCTTTTAAAGAACAATGATCCTTAGGTCATGCAGACCTCCTTGATGGCACCCAGAAGTTTGATCACCCTAGAGATGCAGATAGCTTTGATCATCGGGGATCTCCCCTCCTGCATGTCTACCTTATTCATAAAAGCCCACAGTTATGTTCGAAGGCAGGTCAAATTTGAGAGCTCATCTCTCCTGCCCTCTCACTTTAGCCAAATTGAATAAACTTTTATCTGCTCCTAAGGGATGATGTGTCAGTGTTTCACTTACTGCACATCAGATATATGAACCTAAATTTTGGGGTTCTACAACAGTGTCACTGCTGTGGAACAGTGGTGATGGTTAGAATAAGTCAAATGAAAATTTTGATATTTTGATCATTATGGATATTTTTGCACTAACTTTTGTCTCTAAAAATAGTATTTATCTTGGTTACTAAGTTTTTTTGTATCTCCTTAAATTTTGTGCATCAGGCAAGTCACTCCCCTCATGCTAAACTCAGCTCTGGGGAAGAAAGGGTTTGCAATTTTAAATAGAGTCAAGTCAGATTGTCAAAAAAGCAAATAGAGTCTTCAAAACTAACTTTAGTTTTTTTTATTCTTTATGTTTTATCGTTTTCTTTTTAATTTTTTTGTGAATTTTTATTGCATTATTTCTGCTATCTTTAAATTTATTCTGTTAGTATGCTAACTTCTTAAGTTGGATTCTTCTGATTCCCAGCCTTCTCTCTTTTATTATAAGCATTAAGGCTATGCATTTCCCTTTGCATACCTGATCCTCTCTGGCCACTCAGCTCCTCTTCCTCCTCCTTACAGAGCTGGCTCTGGATGATCCCTTAACCTGCAGTTGAAATATCGCCTCCTCAGAGAGGTTGAGCACTCTATCTTATATATCATCATCTCCCCCTCCCCTTTCCTACCAAAGCACCGTGTTTCTTTTTTTTTTCTACCACTATCACAGATATGTATTTATTTTATTTCCCATCGCTTGTCTCCCTCATCACAATGTAAGTTCTATGAGAACAGAAACCATGAGCCTTTTCTTCACTATTTTATTTCCAGCCTACAGCACAGTGTCTTCTTGCACATGTGGGCTATGATTCAAGAGTGAATGAATGAATGAATAAAAATTGATGAATGAATGAAGAATGAATAGAAGCAAAAGCATCCTACTCTTCCAGGGAACACTTGTATTATTTTCCAACTTCCCAGCAACTCGGTGAAGATAGGTGATCTTGTTATCATGGGAAGCCCCGCAGACTCCAGCAGAAGTCACTGCCCGAAACACCTAGCTCTCTGGAGACTCCCTAGAATCGCATCCGGTGGGAGTCCCGGGATTCTATCCCAGGGTGCCCCACGTTTCTGGTTGTCTTTTTACATTTCTTTAATTGGGTGTGACGAATCAGCTCTCAGGCCCTGACCTTCCGCTCCTCCTCCTGTGTCCCTGAGCCAGACGCCCTCGGAACTCGGCGTGGGGCGCCTGGTAGGGGCGTGGGTGCGGCTGGAAAGGAGGTGACCCCAATTCTGGTCTCCATCACCAGAGAAAGCAGGACCCTGGACAGCGCCGAGAGCCCACAACGGCTAGCATTCCTTCCTTTAGTTCTGAGTTCTTTGCCCGCAGGGGGCAATTTCGCCAATCTGGGCCGAGGTCCCAATCTCTGAAGCCACTCTCCTAAAGACAGAAATGGATTCCAGAAAAGTGGATGCTTACCATTCATTGAAGTAACATAAATATATGTGAATTAAAAGTCAGCCACTCTTTTGGTTCATGCTGTTTGAATAAATGAGGGTGTATTAGTCCGTTTTCAGGCTGCAGATGAAGACATACCTGAGACTGAGCAATTTACAAAAGAAAGAGGTTTAATGGACTTACAGTTCCATGTGGCTGGGGAAGCCTCACAATCATGGCAGAAGGTGAAAGGCACGTCTCACGTGGCTATAGAAAAGAAAAGAGAGTTTGTGCAGGGAAACTCCTCTTTTTAAAACCATCGGATCTCATGAGACTTATTCACTATCATGAGAACAGCATGGGAGAGACCTGACTACATGATTCAGTTACCTCCCACTGGGTGCCTCCCACAACATGTGAGAATTCAAGATGAGATTTGGGTGGGGACACAGCCAAACCATATCAGAGGGGGTTCCCAGTAGTCAAATTTATAGAGACAGAAGAATGGTAGTTGCCAGGGTCTGGAGGTGGGGTGGGGGGGACCCTGGGGTTGTTTAATGGGTATAGAGTTTCAGTTTTGCAAGACAAAGAGTTCTAGAGTGTTTGCACAACAATGTGAATGTACTTAACACTACTGGAATATACACCTAAAAATGACTAAGATGGAAAATTTTATGTGCATTTTTACCATAATTTAAAAAATAAATTGGATGAAATTAAGTTTAAAAATTGAATTAGGCTGGGTGCGGTGGCTCATGCCTGTAATCCTAGCACTTTGGGAGGCCAAGACGGGTGGATCACGAGGTCAGGAGATCAAGACCATCCTGGCTAACATGGCAAAACCCCGTCTGTACTAAAAATACAAAAAATTAGCCGGGCATGATGGCGGGCACCTGTAGTCCCAGCTACTCAGGAGGCTGAGGCAGGAGAATGGCTTGAACCTGGGAGGTGGAGCTTGCAGTGAGCCCAGATAGCACCACTGCACTCCAGCCTGGACGAAAGAGCGAGACTCTGTCTCAAAAAAAAAAAAAAAAAAAAAAAAACAAAAAAATTGAATTAGATTAAATTACATTTTAAAGAAATTAGAGGGCTGGGCATGGTGGCTCACACCTGTAATCCCAGCACTTTGGGAGGCCGAGGCGAGTGGATCACCTGAGGTCAGGTGTTTGAGACCACCCTGGCTAACATGGTGAAACCCCGTCTCTACTAAAAATACAAAAGAGCCGGGCATGGTGGTGGGTGCTTGCAATCCCAGCTACTTGGGAGGCTGAAGCAGGAGAATTGCTTGAACCCGGGAGGCAGAGGCTGCAGTGAGCCAAGATCGCACCATTGCACTCCAGCCTGGGTGACAAGAGTGACACTCCGTCTCAAAAAAAAAATTGATTAAATCTTTTAAAAACAAGGAGGTATCCAAATTGGGAGTCTCCCTCCCTACTACTGAAGAATTGTGGGATAGTATAGAGCCATGGGGTTGCTCCACATGTCTGGACCATTGAACCAGAACTCAATCCCTGAAGATAGCAGGAACAAAGTAAGGGTCCCAGGCCACAGGCACTTCGTTCTGCTGCAGGGAAGTTTCCCTGACCTTTCTAGTTGGAAAGAGTCTCATATAATTGTCTTAGGGAATTATACCCTGAGGAGATAGGGATTTGCAAGACAATTCTTTGCATTCTCCAACTCTTCCTTGTCAGGACATAGCCCTGTGCAGATTTTCTGGGGGGCCAGAGGAAGAAGATGATTCCTTTTTCTCTTTCTCTATGGTGGATACGTTTATCTTCTTCATCTTGGAGCTTCTCCGCCCCCTAAATTCCCATCTAGAGTTACCTGTTCCAGTTACTCTCTTGGAGGATATGGAGGCCAATGTAGCCAGTAAGATACTCTGTAGAGAATGCCCCCTCTTTGCCTGTTTCTCATTCCTTTGGTGTACTCTTCTTTGTTCACCAATATTCACACCTTCACTCGTCATTCAGATCTACCACAATTCTCTGCCATTAGTTGTAAAAGGAATAAAAAGTAATCGTTCTTTATCTGGTCACGTAGAGAACAGTGTATAAACACATATTCATCAATTGTATTTTTGCAATTTCGGGTATTATAAGTATACATTAAAATATTACTTAATAATTTTTCAAAATAAGTAGTCTAGACCATGGGTGTTAGAATTTTTGAAGACCATATATGTTAGAACCTCTTCATTGCAGTTGGCTTGTGTTGGAAACAAATGCTTGGTGCCACAAAGAAGAACTAGCACTGAGACAAAAGACAAAGGGTCTCTCAGCAAGGCAAATTTACTTCTGCAGAAGGGTGCATCTCACGTATGGAGCAAGGGCAAGAGCACATAGAACAAAGGAAAGCAGGGGTTTTTATTATCTCTAATGCAGCTTCTGCTTCTGTGTCTTTCCCCCATTGGCTAGGGTTGGACCCCACAATCTAAGCTGAACCCGATTGGCTAACTTGAAAAGTGCAGGAATGCGGTTACACTGGCGGGAAGGCAGGAAGATCAGTGTCAGTGGGAGAAGCCATTGCGATAGGAGGGGTAATTGACAGCATGGGTAGCAGATGTGGAATGTGGGCTGTATAGATAAGGACTGGCGGGAAGGTTGTTTACCAGGGCAGGGGGAACACAGAGAGTAAGGAAGTCTGGCTTTGAAAGCAGAGAACAAAGGACAAGGAAACTTCAGCAAGCTAAACCTTTGAAGAAGAATTTCTTACGTATTTAACAACTTGGCAACTGTTTAGGTATCCTGGGGACCCCATTTGCAGCTGGCATCTGAAGTGAGGGCAGCCTTATTGGGACTAAGCCCTTAAAGTGTGGGTCTGCACTAATTCCTGGTACTTAGTGTCAGAATAGAATTGTAGGACACATGGTTGGTGTCAGAAAATTAAGAATTGTTGTTGGAAAATGATATACTATCTATCCTTGATTACTACAGTAGTCTCCTAGCCAACTTGGGGGTTCCTACGATGCCCTCAGATTCAATAATTCATTACAACCATTCACAGAACTCAAGAAAGTACTATACATTTTGTCGTGACCAATGCAAGATTAGAAATAACCAGGTCCATGCATGTTTGTGTCTTTCCACAATGTCAGGCTTTTATTGATGCTATTTCAATCACAAATGCCACCTGGAGTTCCCACAGAAACAATTCTCCATAGTACTTCCTGTTTACTCCCTAGCCAGAGCTATGGTCACACAGGTTCAAGCCACTCCACAAGTCAGTCAATATGACATATCATACATAGCAGTGTGCTTAACCAATATTCAAATGTTATATGTTAAACATTCCACAAAAGCAAAATAATATTTATCACCAAGGGGAAAAAGAGATAGCGTAAGACTTAAAGAAAGAGGAAAGAAACACGAAACACGGCTTGGCAGTCAAAGACAGGTTTTCTTTAGTTAAAACATGAGAGGTGCTCCTGGCCGATTGTGGTCAGGATCACTTTCTCTTACAGACTAAAAGTATATATTGGTTTTAGGGTGAGGGGGCTTATCACAAGCTTGGAATGTTTATGTGTGTGGGGAGAAGTTTATGGTGGGGTTGGAATCTCTCAGTTAGGAGGGGAGGTTGTCTTGGGACAGAAATCTTTCTGGCCCAGAGCGGAGTTATCTCGAGGCTGGCATCTTCCTGGCCGGAGGGGTCTTATCTAGGGGCCAGCATGTCTTTGGTTAGGGAGGAGTTTGAAATGTTTCTGGTTGGAGATGTTATTTGTGGTTTATGGTCATGCTGACCTTAGCCATTAGGCTGATGCCCTTTGGATTTAGGTGGTTTTTTTTATTAAGGTGAACTTTAGAATTAGGGCCTTGTCCCAAATGGTGATGCTCCTGCTCTGTCAGATAGGAGAAACGGTTAATGAATCAGTCCAGGGAAAGTGAAGAAGACAGAATCCTGGTCTGAGCCAAGTGGTCTAGGTGGTCTGTTGGTCTTGCAAGGCAGAGTCTTTGACTGCAAGATAGTATCACCCAAGATGGGCATTTTGAGCTGCTGAAAGGCTAATCTTTTATAGTCACAGAGTCCTCTGATGAGAACTGATAGTGGAAGAGTTCTTGTTTGTGTCTTTATGTGATTGGATGCCATCTTTTTTTTTTAATTTGTTTATTAAACAAAACATCTTATCCTTGTTGGCAAAGTATCCTATGAAATATAAAGAGGAGTCTTTTTCTAAGATGGAGTTAGTTATGTCAAGGGTGCTCTATACACTTGTGATTACAGTTTATTATAAAGGATAGGAAGGAACATCCAGATGAGGAGGTACATAAGGCAAGGAAGGGGGAAAAGTGTACAGTTTCCATGCCCTCTGTGGCATGCCACCCTCCCAGCACATCCATGTGTTTATCAATTCAAAAATTCCCTAAATCCCACTGCTTGGAGTTTTTATATGAGATCTCATTATATAGACGTGACTGATTAAATGATTGGCCATCAGTGATTAAACACAACCTCTAGTGCCTCTCCTGTCTCTGGAAGTCAGGGTGGGAGGTAGGGCTAAATTTCTGACCCTCCATTCACAGAGTTTGTTTCTCTGGTGAACAGCCCCCACCCTACAGTAATCTAGGGCCCCCACCATGAATCACATCATTAGCATAAACTCAGGCATGGTCAAAGGGGCTCTTTATGGATAACAAAAGACAGTCCTACCACTCAGGAGTCTCCAAGGATTTTAGAAGGTCTGTACCAGGAACCAGGACAAGAACCAAATATATATATTTTTGTTACATCACAGGATACCCCTTGGTCTTTGACCATGAATTCTTTATAGCAAAAGGATCATCTGTCTGAGCAACATTTTGAGGAAGGAGTGTGGTATAGGAATAGGAGGCTTTTAACTCATTTTTTTTCCAATTCATTTGACTATCGATATTGGTATTATATTTTTTACCAACAATGCAAGTGTAAAACAATATTACATTATGGTAGATGTAACTAAAAAATAAAGTCGAAAGATGCTGGCATATTACTAGAGTCCCATTCAGTTCTTAATAATTAGTTCAGTCTATTATCATATTTCATGAAAATGTCTCCTGGGATGAGGCCACTCCAGTTTGCAGGCTTTCATTTGATCCTGCCTAGTTCCAATAGCAGGAGCGGTGTCAGCAATAGATGGTTTCACCCTTCGAGGCATGAGATATAACTGAGTAAAAGATAATAACATCTTTTGCTCTGAGCCTCTTTCAAGGTGTTAAAGTACTATTGAGTTTCCGTCATTACAGAACCCATTTATTTGTTGCATTATCCTCATCTACTATTTCTCCTTCTCTCCATTTATACAAATTTTTCCACCTTTGGAAGGGACATTAGGTTCAGCCACTGTGCTGGTCTAATTGCAGGCAGCAATACTAATCTAGCAAGTACCTCTCCATCAGCCCACTACCATTCACATAGGGAGCGTTACATAGTTATAGAAATGGGCTATTTTTACCATTAGACATTATAATTGTGTTCACGGTCAATCCCAGTATTTCTAGATGAGGTGAAGGCACAATCTGACCCATCAGGCCTGTAGGAATTCTGACATAAAGTTTAGAATAGAGCTATACTTTATTGTTTAGGAATCATCACTGCCTTCAGCACTTGCAGTTGCAGCCTTGAGCCTGTGACCATGAAGTAGGAAAAACAAAGTTGAAGTGGCACGGGGAAGAAAGAAGAAAGTATAGTCATCAGTCATCTTCCCTGTGGGAGAAATTGCATAGTCATACCAGCATCTTCTCCCACTCCCTATCCTGCTGATCTACCAGAAAACCAGGAATCTATCTAGGAGATGCTTGTCTCCTTGTTGTTGAGTGTGAGCACACATTTGCAAAGGCATGTAAGCCAGCTCTTCATGCTTTTATATTCTCCCATTTTAGGCAACCAGTGTTTCAAATGCCCATTCCAATTCTCTACTGAATTATTATATTACTCTGAGGAAAATATCTCTCTGCCAATTCTTGAAATTATAGATTGTGAGAGGTGTTCCTCGGTCTGATGAAATGTTACTTGGTAGTCCAAATTGATGCAATATCTTCTATTCCGATTCTTTGACAGTTCTCTGAATATTTGCATCTATCACATGGTAAGGAAAGCCAAGTCCAGTGTCTATTCCCATCAAGACCCTCTCATAGCCAGCATCAGTCCCACCTACCAGCTTGTTCAGGGTCTTCTCCCAGGGACTGTTGACACACAGCCATCTGCAGTGTCTGTCTCTTATTTTTGGAAGGCAAAACAGTTTTTAGTGGTATTTTGTGCTTCAGAGGTGCAAGAGGAATATGTCTAGAGTTCATCCATCTTTACATTGCTGCAGGCCCCCAGTGTCCACTCATTTCATGGACCCAGGTGGCTACTTCAAGCAAGCATACTGGGATATCTACTGGTCAATTGCAGTCACCTGCTGAACCTACAAATGGATTCTTCTGTTGGGTACCAATGTGTTCTACCTTAATGCACTCCTCCCCAAATTCTCTTACTGATTTTCCTATGGGTATGCCTTTAATAGGCAGTTTTACATTGCTCTCTGTCTGGCCACATGGTCAGGCCATTGGTCACCATCCACAAAGCAGTAAAATCTCAAGTGGGGGATTTTTGTCTTTGTTCAATTCTTCCATCACTATAAGGAAAATAGCACATAATGTTGCCCATCAAACTGGTTTGTTTTTTATGTTCTTCAAACATAGAGGTGGCCTTCCAAATAGGATGCTGTCCATTCACTTTGAAACTGCTATTTATAAACCAAACAACTTTCTGCTAGTCATTTGAGAACTATTCACAGGGTACTATCCATAGTATAGAATTTGGCACCTCCTCACAATATTCCAAAGTCAGTCCTGGGGAAAAGAGTCTACCTGCTCCTCCAGTAGTGTATTCCTATTTTGACATAAGAAATATGTTTTGTTTCTGCTCGCAGTTACTGACACAGGTCTTAAAACCTTTGGAACTTCCTGGGAGATAGGAGTACGCTTTGTTTTATTGAGGTGACTCTTGGCGGGCTACTGGATAGCTTTGGGATGGCTGCTGGTCACCAGAAATACCAAGCCATGATTAGAGGTGGAGAATTTTCAGCCTCACACCCCGTCCTCCAGGGAGGGGAAATGGACTAGAGATTGACTTAATCAATTGTGTCTATGTCATGAAGCCTCCATAACAATCCCGAAAAGGCTGGCTTTGGAGAGCTTCCAGGTTGGTGAACACATTCACCTGCTAGAAGGGTGGCTCACTCCAGCTTCATGGGTCAGAAGCCCCTACACTCCAGACCCTTCCAGACCTTGACCTATGTATATCTTCATCTGTTGTTCATCTGTATCTTTTATCATAATCTTTATAATAAGCCGGAAATGTGTTTTCCAGATTTCTGTGAGATATCATAGTAAATTATCAAACCCAAGGAGAGGGTTGTGGGAATCCCCAATTTGTAGCCAAGTCGGATAAGCAGTGTAGGTCATCTGGGGATCCACTTCTTGTGACTGGTGTCTGAAGTTGGGGGTAATCTTGTAGAAATAAGCCCTTTGAGGTCTGCAATACTTCAGGTAGTTAGTGTCAAAATTGAATTATAGGACACCCAGTTGGTGTCCAGGAGCTGGAGAATTGGTTGGTGAGGGGAAAAACTCTGTGTTTCAATAAAATTTAAACTGTGGTAAAATACATATAACTGTGTTCACCATCTTAACCAGTTTGGTAGCATTAAGTATATTCATATTTACTGTGGTAAAATACATGTAACATGGTGTTCACCATCTTAACCAGTTTGGTAGTATTAAGTATATTCATATTTACTGTGGTAAAATACATATAACATGGTGTTCACCATCTTAACCTGTCTGGTAGTGTTAGGTTTATTCGTATTTACTGTGGTAAAATACATACAACATTGTGTTCACCATCTTAGCCAGTTTAGTAGTGTTAAGTGTATTCATACTGTTGTGTAACCAATCCCCAGAACTTTTTCATCCTGCAAAGCTGAAACTCTGTACTCATTAAGCAACAGCTGTTCATTTTCCCCTCCTAGCCCCTGGCAACTACATTCTACTTTCTGTCTCTATGAATTTAACTAGACACCTCATATAAGTAAAATCATACAGTATTAGTCTTTTTGTGACTGGTTTATTTCACCTAGCATAATGTCCTTAAGGTTCATCCATGTTGTAGTATATGTCAGAATTTCCTTCCCTAAGGCTAAATAATATTTTATTATGTGTATATAGAATAGTTTCTCAGTATTTACGGGGAATTGGTTCCAGGACCACCAAGGATACCACTAAGTCCCTGATATAAAATTATGTAGTATTTGCATATAACCTGTACATATTCTCTCATATACTTTAAATCATCTTTGGATTACTGATAATACCTAATACAATGTAAATGCTACAGAAATAGTTTTTATAAGGTATTGTTTATGAAATAGTGACAAGAAAATGAAGTCTGTACATGTTCAGTACATACACAGTGTTTTGTGAAATATTTTTGATCCTCTGGTGGCTGAATCCATAAATGTAGAACCCACAGATATGGAGGGCTGACTATGCTACATTTTTAAATTAATTAATCTGTCAATGGACACTTGCATTGCTCCCACTTCTTGGCTGTTGTGAATACTGTTGCTATGTGGGTGGGTGTACAAATATCTAAGAACCTACTTTCAAATCTTTTGGTTATATATCCAGAAATAGTGTTGTTGAATCCTATGGTAATTCTATTCCTAATTTTTTGAAGAACTGTCATACTGTTTTTAATAGTGGCTGTACCATTTTATATTCCCACTAGCACTACACAGGGGTTCCAATTTCTCCACATCCTTACCAACACTTATTCTTTTTGTGCTTTTGACAATAACTATCCTAATTGATATAAGATAATAAGATTATTACATTTTCTTCAGTCATGGGGAAGTTTCAATTAATGTCCGAGATTGAGCTAGTAATTGACTCAGATGTAAATTCTCCACTTCAAAGTACCTGTAGTTGTTGCTGGAAGGCCCTCCAGGCTTTTGCCACAAGCCCTAATCTACCCTCCACACAGGTCCACTATGCACAGAATTTGTGCATCCTAGCACTTCAGGTTTTATTCTATACTGTGTGGGCTTCAACAATCTTGTTCATTTCTATTTAGCAAATATAATTAATATTGCTTAAAGGCAGAATTTATATGCCTTGTGTTTTATAGCACTAGGTAGGGAAACATTCCCCAGTCAGACACAATATCCATTCCCAGAATACATTCAGGTAAAAGAGACACAATCATTTCACATAAAGCCTGTGTAAGCCCTCCAATTTTTGCCCAAACTTTGATCTTGATCCTATCATTTTTTGCAGAGCAGAGACCCTGTTTCAGGGGCCTCTGCAACCCCTCTCCCACAAATATGGAAATAAAGGAAAATCTGGAGTTCCTTTAAAGGAAATTCCATGCATCTAGCTAGCCCTGAGGAATGAAGTTAAGGAACTTCATCAGATTCCTTAAATGAATAAGGAACTTGATAAGCAAGAAAGTAATAGGAACCTAAAACAATAACCATGGAAGTTAAGAGTCAGGAGATTTTTTGTTCCCCTATAGACACTAAATATAATGTCTTAACATATGTCCCTGAGTTGTCTTTCAGAAACCCAGATCCCACCAAACAGTTCCACAGACAGGTAGACCTCAGATAAGAGGGAACTGGGGACTAAACTCTGACAACCATTCTTTGTTCTAAATATCTTCCTGAGGGGCCTGGATGGAGTCACACTCAGGAGCCAAAGCTCATTCTTTTCTGCTGACTGCAAATTCTCTTCCTTCACCAACTGCAAATCAGAAAATCTTTGAATCTACCTATGACCTGTAAGCCCCCCACTTCAAGAGATATCTCTCCTTTGGGCCAATACCAATGTGTAACCTCCATGTATTGACTTATGATTTTGTCTGTAACTTCTGCTTTCCTGAAATTTACATTTTCCTTTAAAAACCTTTACCTGTAAGCCATCATGGAGGTCAGAATTTAAGAGTAGCTGCCTGGTCTTCCTTGCTTGGAGCCCTGCAAATAAATGCCCTCCTTTTTCCTGCTGCAAACCTCAGTGTGGCTATCTGGTCTTATTGTGCCAGGAGAGCATATCTCAGTTAGGTTTGATTAGTAAGTGGCACAAGTGAACCCTCTGGAGTGATGGAAATGTTATAGATTTTAATGTGGGTCATGGTTACATGGATATACACACGTAAAATTAAGCAGTAAACTTGATTTTATAAGTAAATTTATAAACTTAGCATTTTTAAGTTAGCATTCAATAAAAACATTAAGGGCAGTCATTCGAAAAAGTAGAAATAGAAGGCATAACTTCTTCCATAGTGGAGGAAAAAGAAACAAAGACAAATCACTTACTACAAGAAAAGGCAAGAAAGATGGAAAAAAGGAAGAAGGAAAGGTTTGGCTGATAGCAAAGATTTAGGAAGAAATTGCAAAAGTACCGAAAGTTATAAGCATCACACAAAATGGACTAAGGTAAAAAGGTTTTTACGAATAAGGAGGATCATTACATAAAAAAGGTATTCACCAGAAATACGTAGCAATTCTCAATTTTTATATATCTCACAATATAACCTTAAATTACATGAAGCAAAAACCAGACATAAAGACAAAGAGAAATTTACAAATCCACAATTATGGTAAATTTTAAGACAGTTCTAGTGTTTGGCAATTCTATCAAATAAAAAACAAGTTAGAAAAGGGAAGATTTAAATATCAGAAAATAAGAAAGAACTTTGTCCAACATTTAGAGAATACACTTTCTGCTCAGTATATATGGAACATTAATTACACCATATTAGGTCACAAAGCAAGTCTCAACGAAAAACAATGGATATCGTACAGAGCATATTAAAAAATAACCAACAGGCACATATGTTTGAAAATTTACAAACATACTTCTTTAATACATGGTCCAAAAAGGAAATAACAAAGATGAGAAAATCTTAGGAACTGAACAACAATGAAAACAACATATATTACAGCTCAAGGCATGATATTAACCAGTGCATAGAGAATAAGTTTTAACCTTAAATATAACAATTAGAAGAAACATTTTTTAAACTCTTAATGTGCTAAGTGTCTTATTTAAAAAATTAGAACAAAATAATATAAACAATAAATCCAATAAATGTAGAAAGAATAAAGACAATAGCACCAAATAAAATCAAAACAGAGGATAGACGAGGCTAAAAGCTGATTAGTTTAAAAAGATCAGTAAGGTAAAATTTAAACTTGTTAACTGTTATTACTCTATTTTTCAATAATTGAAAAATGATTTTTAACTTAATAATTTTAGTAATTTAAAAAATTCATACTATTTTTTTCTGTTTGAAAATGGTTTGGGTAGCTTAGGTTTGGGATCATTACAATTGTTCTCATTAAAACTAATAGAAAAAAATTTTTTTCCACCTAACGGCTTTTCCCTGAGCTTTCAGGAGGCCATTGAAGCCGTTAAGACCGGGTCAGGTGAACAGGAAGTTAAAGACTGAAAAGGAGACACAAAACTGCCGACTTTCCCGACGGCGAATTGGCCCTCTGGAAACAGCCGACCAATCACAGGCAGCAGGGGCGCGCCCTGCAGCGGGGCTCCGGCTGCGGTTCCGTGGACTCGGCGACTAGGCGCCGCCTGACCAGTAGGAGCCGCCCTCGACGAGCGAGCTCGAAGGCTGCGACTGGCGCCGCCTCACCGCCTCCCACCGCCACTGACCGACCGTTCGACCGGCAAACATGGTTGAAGCGGATCGCCCGGGGAAGCTGTTCATTGGGGGCCTCAACCTCGAAACCGACGAGAAAGCCCTCGAAGCCGAGTTTGGCAAGTATGGCCGCATCGTCGAGGTGCTCCTGATGAAAGACCGAGAAACCAACAAGTCGAGGGGCTTCGCGTTCGTCACCTTTGAAAGCCCCGCAGACGCCAAGGCCGCCGCCAGAGACATGAACGGCAAGTCCCTGGATGGTAAGGCCATCAAGGTGGCCCAGGCCACCAAACCGGCGTTCGAGAGCAGCCGGCGGGGCCCGCCGCCTCCCCGCAGCCGCGGTCGCCCGAGGTTCCTGCGCGGAACCCGCGGGGGTGGCGGCGGCCCGCGGCGTTCCCCATCCCGGGGCGGGCCCGATGATGACGGCGGCTACACGGCGGATTTCGACCTGCGGCCCTCCAGGGCCCCGATGCCCATGAAGCGTGGGCCGCCGCCGCGCAGGGTCGGCCCACCCCCCAAGAGGGCCGCGCCGTCGGGCCCGGCTCGCAGCAGCGGCGGTGGAATGCGCGGGAGGGCCCTGGCCGTGCGGGGGCGAGACGGCTACTCAGGCCCACCGCGCCGGGAGCCGCTGCCCCCGCGCCGCGACCCCTACCTGGGCCCGCGGGATGAGGGCTACTCGTCCAGAGACGGCTACTCGAGCCGAGACTACCGCGAACCCCGGGGTTTTGCCCCCTCGCCCGGAGAGTACACCCACCGCGATTACGGCCACTCCAGTGTCCGGGACGACTGTCCCTTGAGAGGCTACAGCGACCGAGACGGCTACGGAGGTCGCGACCGTGACTACGGGGATCATCTGAGCAGAGGCTCCCATCGAGAGCCCTTTGAGAGCTACGGAGAGCTGCGCGGCGCCGCCCCAGGACGGGGGACACCGCCATCTTACGGAGGAGGAGGCCGCTACGAGGAGTACCGGGGCTACTCACCCGATGCCTACAGCGGCGGCCGCGACAGTTACAGCAGCAGTTATGGCCGGAGCGACCGCTACTCGAGGGGCCGACACCGGGTGGGCAGACCAGATCGTGGGCTCTCTCTGTCCATGGAAAGGGGCTGCCCTCCCCAGCGTGATTCTTACAGCCGGTCAGGCTGCAGGGTGCCCAGGGGCGGAGGCCGTCTAGGAGGCCGCTTGGAGAGAGGAGGAGGCCGGAGCAGATACTAAGCAGGAACAGACTTGGGACCAAAAATCCCTTTTCAACGAAACTAACAAAAAGAAGAACCTGTTGTATGGTAACTACCCAAGGACTAGTACAAGGAAGAGTTGTTTTTACCTTTTAAGAATTTCCTGTTAAGATCGTCTCCATTTTTATGCTTTTGGGAGAAAAAACTTAAAATTCGTTTAGTTTAGTTTTGGAATTGTTAACGTTTCTTTCAACAAGCTCCTGTTAAAAGTATATGAACCTGAGTACTAGTCTTCTTACATTTACAAGTAGAAATTCGATTAATGGCTTCTTCCCTTGTAAATTTTCTTGATAAATGAGGCAAACAGTTCTAAGATCTTTGATAAACATCTGCTCACCTAAAATGGAAAAACGGATCATTCTGCTCATTTAAACCAACTAGATTTTGGGTGGAGAGTGGGAGGGATTGGTGTATGCTACTCTTAAGATTTCAGGGTATCTTTCAAACTGAATCTTTGTTTCCAGTATTAAAAAGCAAACAACCAGCAACAACAACAACAAAAGTGATTTAGATCAAATGTTTATGTAAAGAAAATTATTTTCACTCAGTAAATCTGAAAAGTAAATGGATAATGTTGGCCATGTTTTGCCTTTTTGCTTTTTCTTTGGGAATCTACAGGATCACCTGTCCCCTCACTCCCAAAAGTACTATCTATGTTTTGAACAACAGTGGAATACTATATCAAAGGTTTGGCCAACCAACCACAAAGCTACAAAACAAGCAAATCCCAAATCCTTCAATTGATAGCATTCATTTTCACTACCAACAAATTTATTAAGAAACAAGTAGAAAATAAATCAGTGGTCGACTTGGGGACCGTAATGGCTTCCATTCCTAACTCCAAGCTACTTGCCTTTGGCTCTAGAGCCAGCCACTGAGTCCTGTGGAGAGAATTGAGCTTCTTCCCTTAGGGGTGGAGGAATCAAAAGTGAGCAGCTTCAGAGCTCAGGAGCAAAGGTCAGAGAATCCCTGAAAGAGCTTGGCGTTTCAACCTCTGAGGATCTCAAACTGGCATGAAGGGGCTGGTTTTCCTGTCCACAAAAGGCGAGGGGTTGGATGGGTTGTTTCCTAGTTTTAAGGTGGGGAGAAGGGCTTCAACAGAAAAAGATTAGAGTCTTTCTCCAAGATCTGTCAAGAGGAACGTAAGTTTCCTCTTAAACATCTTTTCCATTCAGCACCTGTGGATTCCCCAATTTATCTGTGAGAAAGGTAATTGTACAGTCAAGGGACTGTAGCAACCAGAGAAAGAAGGATGGGGTTAAGGTTGATGACCCATGTTCAGTGTAATAATTGCTGGAGGAAACAGATAAGGGAACAACAGCAAAAAGTACTTAAAGGGATCTGAATGCAACACACATACACAACTTTTAACAACATGATTTTTTTTGACAATAATAAAGTAGGTGCATTAAAGGAGAGGACACACTAGTGGCTCAGAAGAGCAAATGCAAGAAATAGCTAAAAAATGATCCAGGAATTAATCTAACAAAAATATGTAAGATCTTTATGAAAAAATTAATCTTTATTAAAGGACATAAAAGAAGAACTATAAGAGATTGATATACTCATGGTTGGGAGGACTTCATTATCAACTATTCTCAACCTCATCAAATTAATTTGGAAAAACAATACAACTTCAAATGAAGTCACTTCATGATTTTTTTCACACAGCTCCCCTCCCCTCTTCCCGAATAACACCATTTATTTGTGTTGATCAATGATGGAATAATAAAAGATTTGGTAAACCAACCACAAAAAATCAATAGCTTCATTTCACCACCAACAAATTATTAAGAAACAAGTATTTAGAAAAGAGACACTAATGGGAGATATAGCTAATCTTCAAATTTGCATGGTGGAATAAAGAGCAAGAAAAGCCAAATCAATTCAGATGAACAGTTGTTAGGAAGGACTCATCCTACAGATACCAAGACTTATTACAAAGCTCTAGCAATTTAATTGTATGATGTCAGCAAACAAGGATAGACAGACCAATAGACCAAAACTGTGATCCTAGAAACAAGTCCACTTCTGTCACATTATGCAACAGAGGTAATTTTAAAAGTCATTGGTGGCAAAATGAAATTCTAAAAAAAAAAGACTATTTGTTAAAAGTGAGATTCCATAACAGCATACACAAAAATACATTCCAGATGGTTTGAAGATTTAAATGTGAAGAGGAAATTTTTAAACACTTAGAAGAAAGTGAAGAAATGTATACACCACGGTGGGGTTGAGAATTCCGTTTTAAGACAAAAAGTACAAACTTGGAAAATATTGATAAAATTTTCCATATTATTATTAAGGTATTTTAATGATAAAAGTGACTATTAACAAAGTGAAATTTCAAGCCATAATATTGGAAGAATATATTTACATTGAAATGACTTCCAAAAGAATGCTTAAAAATCAATAATAAGAAAAAAACAAGAAAAAAATGGACAAAGACTTACATTTTTGATAGATGTATAAATTGATACAATCATTTTGGAGATAATTTTAGCAATGCCTAGTAAAGTTGGAGGATGCATACTTTACGACCCAGAAATTCCATTTCAAGGAATGGACTTAAAGAAATTTGTGCATATTCACAAGGAGATACGCACAAGATTGGTCAGTAAAGCACCCTTTGAATGTTTACAACAAAAGTAGTCTACCTGGAGTGGATCAACTGAGATTTATGATGAAGCTCAGTGTAGAAGCTAATATGAATCAGCCAGGTCTACATGTATCATTATGATAAATATGAAAATATTAATATTTGGTGAAAAAGGCGAATCGCATAAATATAGGTATAGTAAACAAAATAGGATTTGAATGATAGCATGAAAAATCAGGATATTTAGAGTTAAGAGGAAAGGAAAAAGATGGGAGGAGGAGTGAACTTTAGCTGAATGTTTTATGTCTTTAAAAGTGATGGCTCTTAAGCAAAACTGACAAGTTTAACATCTTAAATTTCTGTGGTCTGTACATTGGCATCTCTTATTCCGTAAGTTCAAAATATTTTATAATACACATTTTAATATTAAAAAATAGAGCTTAGCATACCACCCAGCATGTAATTACTGAAAAATGTTTGTTATTAATATGCTGAAACTCAGCTGCAACATTCTTATCTTGGCAATGATTCTTTCTCCTGGCTTTGTTCTTTCATCAATATGGGTGATGCCTTATTCTATTTAAATGAGTTTTTAAAACCTTTCTATCTCGGACTGTGCCCACAGCTTGTTTACCATAATCTCAAGGGTAGAACCGGCAATACCTGAGAACCAGATCTTAGAGGAAGGTGCAGTTTTTCCTTTTGTTGTCTGTTTTGAAGTGTAATAGCGATGAAAAACGTTTTCCAATCAACAAGCTGTTTCTGAAGAGTAATCTCCTGAATATTGAAACTATTAATAAAAACAAAGTATTAACATTAGGAAAATAAAGACTCACTGGAGTTCAGTGAGTTAATTTTAGAGATTATAGCATACAAAGGTTGTAGATCTCTCATACATATATAATACAACAGTCTCAATATTTCTTTACTGGAAATATTTTTGTAGGAAAATATGCCAGAGGTCTAGTCAATTGAGAACTCTTTATAATCACTTTCATAATGATGAGAGAGAGAGAGAGCTTATCACATGTTTTCCAGAACTCACCCACTGAGTAAAATTTAAGGAATTTGTATCTCAGTGAAAACCTTTATATTTTCTATCATGTGCTTTTCTCCGATTACTCCTGAAACCCCATCTCCTCCATATTTCCTTCCAAAATGGTTTCAGGAGTATTCAAATTGTCCATGTGGCAACTGACAGCATTACCGAATCCCCACAAGATGAAGGCTGAACATCTTCTGTTTCTGATCACAACCGGAATTCTACTGTGGCTCCTGTGACTATCTTAAAGAGTGCTAGAGGTAGAATTTTTTTTTTCCCCCATAGGGCAATAGTTCCCTTTTCCCCTTGCCTTAGGCCAAGTGAGATAGAGAAGGCTTCTCTGCTAGTGTTCCTCCTAACTGGGGCCTCTAACATTTTTCAACCTTTATGTGGTTTCCATGCCCCCTCCCTTTTAGCCTTTATTTTAAAAGTGATGTAACTTTCCTTCTTTTCCTCCATATAAATGTTCTCTCTGGGGATAGTTACTGTGTTCTCATAAATGTTTTCCTCTTTAGAATGTGTTTAAGAACTCACCAAGCAAAATAAGGCTGTATTGCTCTTGCTGTGCACACATGATATCCAATGCTCATGGCAATTTCTTTCAGAACCTACATGTTCTATTTGTGGTGAAGTTTATTCTGAAGCTAATTACTCTTACAGTGTAGCACATCTAAGAATGATTTTAAAATGATTTTGATAAATATTTTGTGAGTGACATTGAATGAACATATCAAGCACAGAAAATTAGAGGAACGACATAGCAATGATGTCCTTGTTGAATGCATCTCACTATCATATTTATTAAAGTGCTCAAGGGGAATAAAAAATATGAGGACCTATTATGAAAATTTTAGAGAAAACAGTAGGAAGAAATAGTAAAGCTTTCTCAGGTTTGAAGGCTGCTTGTTATAGTAGAGAGAGAATCTTTTGATCATATGCAGAAGCTCTCATTCTGTTATTCATGTAGCTTGGACAACTTTCTTAAAACTTTAGACCTTCCGTTTTTTTCATGTGTGGTGATAATACAGTTTCATCATATTTATGGAAGTTTTAAATAAGATGACTCATATACAGCACCCAGCACAGTGCCTGGAATGCAGTGGGGTTCGTTAAGTGGTAGTATTACGGCATTCTGCAAAGCAGTAGCACAGACTTTCCTTTGGAATTTATCATTTATATTCCTAGTAAAATTGCTTCTATACTCAAAAGTCTTCAGAAAAAGTACACTTGAGAGTTTTAATTGTATTTACTCAAGCTGCACTCATCCAGCTTGAAATCTTGGAGATATATTTGACTCTTTATAGTCCCCATTAATTTTCTGCTGCCTCTTTCTTCTTCACCTCTTCAGTTGAGGGGACCAGAACTTCCACCATGGGCTCAGTGCCCCATTCCTAACCAGTCAGAAGTAAAGCAGGTTGATGTTATTATAAAGGCTTGATTCCTTCTTATCTGTTAGGGTTTAGAATTATTGCTCTCTGGCATAATTGGCTTAGACTCAATTTTGCCCCAGAAATAAAGTGCCTAGTGCAGTGCCTAGATTTTTAAAAAATGTAGCTGTTTTTATTGTTATTTACAGTTGACTCAGGCTTTGGGGCACCTAGAGAAATCTCTGAGTTGAAGAGTGTAGTAATTTAGAATAAGTAATATGTAATCTTGTAGACCTGAATTTAAATCCTGTGTCCACCATTCACCAACTGTGATCTTGGTCGGGTTACTTAATTACTCTTTGTGTTTTTTTCCCCTTACCTATAAAATAGGGTCAAGAATGCTCCCCTCATGAGATTGGTTGTCTATCTATCCATTTATTCATTGAATCTAATTTTTATTTATGTAGTACCCACCAAATGGCAAACGCTGTGCTAATATCACGCCAACTAAGGCAAACAGAAAAGCAGCACCAAGATCACAGTTAGTGAATGATCTTGGTCAGGTTGCTCTTTGTTTTTTTCCCTTATCTATAAAATAGGGACAAGAATGCAATCATACTTATTGGCCAGATTAATATTCATTAAGGACGATTCACAGAGACAGTGGAGTAGTACTTGCTAGTTGCCCAGATGCATTCTGTGGGAATACACAGAGATTTAGCATGACTGGACTTCAGCTTTGGGAGAGGAACTCCCACATTTGGGCTGTGGGGCTTTTGAGTTGCATAATATAGGAGATTCCAGCCCCTACCCTGGAATAATTAGGGGTTAGGATATAATAGCAATATGTCATGGCAGAAATAGCTATAACCCTGTCACTTCAGTGCTCGTGGTTGTGGATTTGCAGGAGTTGAGGACTTGATAATAACATCAGTCTGCCCTAGACAGGTTGACAATGGGTCACTGAACCTTGCAGTCAACAGCTGGAGAAGGGAGAGACAGTAGAATATAAATGGGGCTGAGAAGAACATGTTTTTTGTGAATAATACTTTTATCTAAGGTGGTAAAGGGCTGGAGTCAAAGTCTTGTAATTGAAGCTGTATGGCAGCAAAGCAAACTAGAGGCAGGACTTGCTACATCAGCATTCAAGATTGAGAATGTACTAACATTATAGCTGCAGGGGTAACTGTGGCCCAGGCTGTGCAGCTGACCATGATTGACTGCATTAAAAATGGGCTAAAAGCAGCTTTCAGTGAAATTTGCAGAAGGCCAATCCTTTCCAGGATGCCAATCTACTGAGGATTAGTTTTGGATAAATTAATCCTTGTCTCTTAGCTAAGCAATGGAGACATATTGGTGAGCCAAAGTAGACATTGTTAATCCTCACATGGAACAGTGTTCAAAAGGTAAGATAGACTGGTTAAATTGTCATACAAAAAGCAACATTTTAACCATGACAAGCACTATGAAAGAGAGATACATAGCACTATGAGACATGTTTTTAAAAGCTTGATGTAGTATAACAGGGATCCCCAACTCCTGGGCCAGGAACTGGGCTGCACAGCAGGAGCTGAGTGGTGGACGAGCTGGCAAAGCTTCATCTGTATTTACAGCCGCTCCCATCACTTGCATTACCACCTGAGTTCCACCTCCTTTGAGATCAGCAGCAGCATTAGATTCTTACAGGAGCATGAGCCCTATTGTGAACTGCACATGTGAGGGACCTAGGTTGCATGCTCCTTATGAGAGTCTAATAGTTGATGATCTGTCACTGTCTCCCATCACCTCCAGTTGGGACCATCTAGTTGCAGGAAAACAAGCCCAGGGCCTCCACTGATTCTACTTATGGTGAGTTGTATAATTAATTCATTATGTATTACAATGTAATAATAGTAGAAATAAAGTGCACAATAAATGTAATGTGCTTGAATCATCATAAAACTATCTCCCCCGACTCCCTGGTCCCTGGAAAAGTTGTCTTCCACAAAATTGGTCCCTGGTGCCAAAAAGCTTGGGGACCACTATATATAGGACACCTAGAGAATGCATCCTTAAGTGATAATTGAACTAAGATGTGAAGGATGTATAAGAGCTAAATTTCTGTGAAAATTAAATGAGATAATATATAAAAAAGCATGTAGCACATAGTAACCCTCAGTGAATGAAGACTGATTTTCTTATACCTATTCTCTTTTGACATCAAGGTAGTTTTCGCTGGGAGTTTGTGCTATATAAATAAAGGTGAAGGAATGCAGGTGAATTACTAACAGACACTAATTTAAGAGAGCATATCTTGAGGTTGATTACCAGGAGAGGGGAAATGAGAAACACAGAATGTGAATCAACAAATAGGAGAGGCAAATAATGTGAGATCAGTTCAAGGTCAAACTAGTAAGAAAAAAACAGATGAAATGAAGAAGTTGGGAAAAAGACAAGTATTGGCTGGATTAATGCCCTGGGAGTAACTACTGATACCCCCTTTAAAGTCTCAGAGCCAAGTTCACAGATAAAGTAGCTTTTAAAGGTATCAGGGTTGTTTGAATCTGAGATGAATCAGACCCTCTTTATCCTTCAGGCACTCATAGTTTAGTGTGGGTAACATTTTTCTGCATAAACTACCTAAAATGCAAAACAGAGCAAGAAATGTTATCAAATAGGCATGGGCAATGTGCTAAGCAAACCAATTAATTCTGATGAGGAGGCTTTCCAGAGGTGGTAAAATTTCAAGATATTCCATGAAACAGGGAAACTCCTCTTTCATTTGTGTATGTTATCCACTTTAAATACAGCTAGGTTCATTTGTTTCTATTTGTAATTAATTTTAGGAGTGTCTTCATCTTGTTGATTTTATATCCCATCTCTGCTAATTTACATGGAAACTATTGAAACTTCTGAAGATGGGAGTGATTATCTGAGCTGCAGTTTGGCACCTGAGAGATGGACCGAAGAGAAAGGTTGGAGGGAGAGAGCCATCTAAACATACTAAGGCTTGCATTTTTATTTGTATTTAAAATTGCCCTAGTTGATTAAGAAGCTGAGTGGAGGAAAGCATGCTTCCTGACACGGAACAGAAGTTACCATATGATAACAGTCCACTAGATGTCACTAAAAGCTCAAGGATTGGTGCTTTATGTTTCCTTTCTTGAACCTGCCCCTTGGAACTTGAACTCTAGGGTCTGTGGATTTAGGCTAGGTGCTGCTTATGCTTTTAACTGGAAATCCCCATATAATCAGGTACTGCAAGTTATGTACAGTTGAAAAGACCAGAAGTATATCCAAGTATATATAAGCATTCAAATTGGTGGGAAAAGTAATTCAATAACTGATGCTGATTTAATTGGCTAACCACTTTGGAAAAAAGTCCTAATGATTTTGATCATTATACACCAAAATGAGTTCTAGGTGGATTAACTTTTTTTAGGTAGGATTTTAACTTTTTTTTTTAAGTGTGGTAAAATACATATGACAAAATTTACCATCTTAGCCATTTTTAAGTGTACAAGTTTAGTGGCATTAAGTACATTCACATGGTTATGCTGCCATCACCACCATCCATCCATAGAACTCTTTTCAACTTGCAAAATTGTGGATTAATTTTTTTTTTTTAATTGAGATGGAGTTTCGCTCTGTCACCCAGGCTGGAGTGCAGTGGTGTGATCTCGGCTCACTGCAACCTCCGCCTCCCGGGTTCAACCAATTCTCCTGCCTCAGTCTCCTGAGTAGCTGGGATTATAGGCATGTGCCACCACACCTGGCTAATTTTTGTATTTTTAGCAGGGACGGGGTTTATCATGTTGGTCAGGCTGGTGATCCGCCTGCCTCGGCCTCCCAAAGTGCTGGAGATTACAGGAGTGAGCCACTGTGCTCAGCCAGATTAACTTTTTAAATGTAAAAATAGAAACAACAAAAAGTTTAGAAGAAGATCTATTTGTGTTTTTATATAATTGAGTTTTGGAAAATTTTTCTAAGCCCAACAGTAAAGGAGGTATCAAAAGTTATATATTGATAAATTTTATTACCTAAAGATTAAAATTTTGTTTACATCTAAATGCCTCAAAGTTTATTCATTTATTATATATATGAATAATTTATCATATATTCATTATGATGTGGTTATAGGACTTGCTGGTTTTCAGCTATGGAGCTGCTGTCAGTTCCTAGGGACCTCCCACAATTCCTTGCCATGTGCTCCTCTCACATGTCCTTTTACAATATGGCAGTTTATTTCTTTTATGCCATAGCATAAAAGCTCAGATCTCTCTTTTATGATATCAATCTAAGTAGCTCAGTTCTCACCCTAAAGTTTTAGGAAAAATTAATAAATAAGGAGTATTCACTCTCTAATAAGCATGCATATTATAGAAAAATATGTAATGAGAAGCAGAAATACATTAAAAATTAGTGTATAGATTACTTAACAAAGATAAAGCCCACACAACATCTAGTTTCATCCAATATGTTAATACCTTTTTATAACTCCCTCTTTGTACTTCCTCCATGGAAAAGATACATGGGTAGGACATGAGGACATCCTGGATATTTGGTATGGCGTTCTTTGCTGGGTACTGACTATTTTTAATTATTTTGACCATTAGCTTCCTTACAGTTAGCATATTATCACTTAACTTGACAGTTGTTTTGAATTAAGAAATCTCACAATCAATCTTGAATTGGAACTGATATGTGTGCTTTTAAAAACAAAATCTATAGTGTTGTTTGGTATCAAATCCAGAGTTAAGCTCAGCTTTGTCAGAATGTTGGGGCATACTTCCTTCACAATGGCTGCTTTCTAGTGGCAGTTGTCAGGGTATAACTTGAGGTTAAACCATTCTCAGTGTTCCATTCCCTGGTTTAATCATGCCCTTACCTGAATCCTTCAACTACCTCACAGGCAGCAATTCATTGACTCCTATCTGGTATGAGATTGTAAACTGAAAGATGTCCTGATTTCCCCGTTACAAGATGATATTGTCTTCTGTTTTATCCATCAGCTATCTTTATCAGTAACACCAGAAAATTATATATAATATGATTTTATCTCTAGTCTCAAATTTGTGCTGATGAACTTAATCATCATAATGTTCTTATTTTCATTTGTGTTTTGTCTTATTATGTGGCCACAAATACATAGACAGTGTATGTGGTTTTAGCCTTCCATTGTATCTGGAAATTTAATTGTTATAAGCCTTTTCTTGTAGACCTTATTCTGTATTTGTATGAGATTCTAAACCTTCTACAGTGGCTACAATTTTGTTGGTCCCTATCAAAATCAGAGATCTGGGAAAACAAACCATAATGTTTATATTTTCCATTAGGGGAAACGTTCTTGGGAAAGTAATCACTCTGGGTATTTAGACAGCCTGGAAATGCAGTTCCACTTTTCAGATGCTTACTGGTTTCCACGAAAATGTTCATTCCATGAAAATGTTCCGTTGAGGCGGAATGAAGGGGCTCGTGACAGGGAACCACTGTGTGCTTGGCGTTGTCCTCAGCCTTCTGTTCACTCATTTAGTATAGACCAGTATATACTACTGGCTGAGCATGGTTCTGAAGGGTAGAAATGCAAATATGAGACACTAATTATGATCTCTATCTTTGAGGATTTATTTCTCAGCCTTGTGAGGAAGAAAAACACTAACTAGAAATTGCAATCCAACTCACATATGAGTACAAATGAAAACACTTCATCCTGGAAGCAGAAAATACGCTTCTGCTTTGGAATAGAAGCAAAATTGAAGACTAGAAGTGAACCTGAAAAGAAGGCAGAAGTGAAGTAGGATCTGCATAAACTGTTACATGTTTTCTCTTTTATGTCCAGTTAAATATTTTTGACAGTAGAACTGCAAAAATACTTAACATTGAATTGAAGAATTTCTTTGTAGAAGTGTTGAAGAAACACCATTTCTCTGATTTAAGGAAGTCATAAATATATTTGAATGTTTGATATTCTAAAATTGTTTAGTAATATTAGTTTTCACTAAATGGATTTTATGACCTCAGTCATAACACTGCTTTATTTACTTTTATTATTTCCAGTGGAGTAAACACTCCACATATAACTAATATATTTGGAATAACTCCTCTGTCCTTCATTTGTTTTAGGAAGGATTAGAACAAAGCTAGATTTAGGATCCTCGCGGGAGGGGTGTGCTTTACTGAAACACTCATTTGATTTTATAAATGTTTCTAGATATCCAGGAGAGATGGAATTAACCAGTCCTCAGCTCCTTAAGGATGTAAGTGCTGGCTAACCAGAACAATAACTATCAAATTAAAAATAGCGGTGAAGCGGTACTCAATCTAGGGCTAATCCAGTACTATGGCAACAAGCACTATTCTTGGCCCTAGTGAGGGACAGGTACTGCTCCTCCTAATCATTTTGGGTTGCTCTTTCCCCAGTCTCAGATAGCTTCCTCACACATTTGCATGAATCAATACTTGGCTAAATATTCTAGGTGGACTCTCTGGAGATGTCTGGAGTTTTTTCTTAGTGCAGCCTCTTTTCTCTGTTACTCTGGCCTGCAAATGGTAGCACCTTTTTTCCCTTCTGAACTGTTGTCTTTCTATCTTCAACTAAGGTTATCAGCCAAGCTCTGCCTGAGTTCTTCCTCCCTGATTTCCATAAAAATGGATATTTTAATGGAAAAATATAATTCATAGAAATTGACTCAAGGATAAGTAGGATATATAAATAGGGTAATAACCATGTAAGCAATTTTAAATCTGTGAAAGAATTCTCTGAAAGCATGCTTACTTTGGTTAGATTGCAAATAAGTAAAATAAAATAATTTCCCTGTTATATAAATCACTGAAGTATATTTTAAAAGATAGACAATATTTAAGTTCATTTTACAAGCCAGTGTAAACTTGCTATCAAAATCTGGCAGATATGAAAACATGAAAATTATAAACACTTTTTACCCATGAATATAGGTAAGAAAATATTCTAAATAATAGTAAGAGTTGGATCACACAAAGTATTGAAGAATATCATGAACAAATAGGAATGTGGTTTTGTAAAACTTATTAATAATTTATATCGGTAGACCAAAAAAAAGTCACATGAGCATCTCCATAGACGCCCATGAAATATTAATAAAAATTCAATATCCGCTTTTGATACAAACTCTTGGTAAACCAAATGTAGAACATGGCAAAATGTATCAATCTCAAGGTATCAGCTGACAGAAATTTTAATAGTAAGAAGGAATCTGAAGTAAGAAATGAGAAATTTATGATTGATCTAGAATGTCAGAAAATGAAAAAAAGCAAGTTACAAAGGGAAGTAAAGGAATAAATAATATTAAAATATAATTATTTGCTGACAACATGATTATTTACATTTAACTTTTTAAAATGAGGAAGGACCTATGCTTTCAATGTCAAGAATGAAAGTATTTTTGCCCCCCACCCCAATTTTTAAAAAGAAAACTATAATGTATCAGTTTCCTAGTTTCTTCCCATCTCCCTTTGGCAGTTTTGAATGAAATCATTGGGATTTTAAACTTTTACAATTTATGTTATAGATGCTCTGCCAAAAATAGTGACAAATTACATTCAATTCCATTTGGATATTTTAAAATTACATAGATTAAATTTTGTTTTCAATACTTACTACCAATTTTTTTTTAATACCATCTTCCCTTTTATTAAGTTAAAATGTTAACAATTGATTTTGTGGTTGGCTGAAATAGAACCAGTAATAACTTTTAAGAATGGAAATGTGGTTGGTAGATTTTCTGAGTTCTTATATGGTTGGTAATATCTTTCAGCAGATTTTCTAATGAATGTGTGCTTGATCAAATAGAAAACGTTCCTACTGTATGTCTGTCGTTTTTAAGATTCTTTAGCCAATGCTAAACTGGCATTTTTTGTTATGGTGCAGAAATCTGAGGCCAGCAGGACACTATTTTTCCTTTCACCTTTTCTTTCTAGTGAGAATTTATTTTTTTAATCCTTAACATTCACAACTTTTATGAAGCTATGCCCTCTTAAAAAATTATATTTGCTTTTAGTTGAAGTTAGACATTTCATCCCCCAAATTCAAGCAGTCTTTTAGTTTCAGGCATGTTTGTCTTTTATTTCATTGATTTTGCTTTTCTTCTGTTGGTTTCTCTTTTGGGGATGGTCTTTACATGCATATTCCATGTTCTTGATTTGTCCTCCATGTTGCTAACATTTTCTCTCCTCAGTTAAGTCTATATTGGGTGATACTGAGTTATTTCTCTTGAGGTTTAGTTTTTCATTAAAATGTATCTATATCTAGTTCATTATCTCAATTTTTTCTCCTGACAAATCTTCTGTTTGCTGACTCCATTAAAATAATTCAGCAACTATGCTTTTCAAGTCTTGAAAAAATATTTCCTGATCTCATATTGTGCTTTTTTCATAATTTTCTATTTTAGTTTCATAAATCGTAATGTCCCCCCCCAATCTTTTTGAATGTGTGAATTATAGATTTTTCGATGATTTTTTCTTTCTAGGAAACAAGTCAGTTTACTTGGGGTGGCAGAGGGTGAAACATTGCTGGGATTTGTCAGCTTGATCCCTCTTTTTCAGTGCTGAGCATTTTTACAGTCCAATTATCTTTTTTATTTTTCATTATGTCTACGGAGGAGTGTCTCTGTTATATCAGTAGGAAATCAAGGTGGCTTTTTCAGAGACTGTGTTGGTTCCTTTCAAATATTTGAAACACTGACAGAAGGAGACATTTTAGATTTCCTCAAAGTTTACATTGCCATTTTAGAAATCTAGAAGCCTATAAGGAAAATTAAAACTGTAGAACTAAGAGCAGCCAACACAGAGAGCATTCTCTTGGTGTTCTAAAGCTAGGATTCCACAATTATTATGACAATTCAAGTTAGAGAGGTGTGTGTCCTCATCTTTCCTCCTTTTCTTGCTCCTTCTCCACTGTCGTCTTCATCCTAGTAGTAGTATTTATTTTGTCATAGTTTTCTATTTAATGTTTATTGAAAAATGTATCATACCTGCATAAAAGAGCATAAAATTATTTATACACTTTACAGTAAAGCTGTAAAGTGAACACATGTGTAATCACTAACTAGATCAAGATAGCACACAAGGAGTCCTTCATTGCCTCTCCCCAAATGTAACTCCTCTCCCTCCTGGAAGTAACCACTTTCCTGACTTTTGTAAAATCATGTTCTTGTTTTTCTTTATATTTTAATAACCTAGTTATATTCTTAAGTAATATGATATAGTTTTGCTGAATTTTATAATTTTATGTGAAAGGAATTATATATGCTTTTTTGCCTTTTCTTTACATTAGTACTTTATTTGGGATATTTATTTTTTTGAATGAGGTTATAATTTGTTAATTTTTGTTGCTATCTGGTATTCCATTGCATGACTATAACACAATTTATTCTTCCATTTTATGGTTGTACATGTCAGCATCACTTCTAGTTTGGGACAGTTATAAACAATGCCACTCTCAACATCCTTGTATTTCTGTACCTAGAGTGATTGCTAAGCAATGCCAAACTGCTTTCCAAATGTGATAATTTCAATATATCATTCACCTAGCTGTAAATATCTATTGTTTCACCCCCTTTCCAACCCTCGATATCATCACATATTCACTTACCAATCCATTTAGTGGATGTTCAGCTCAGTGTCAAAGCAATCCCCAGGCTGTGTGAGTAGGTGAGGCAGTTTATGTCTGTCTTGCTCTTACCCTGAGAGCACAGCTCTTTGGATTCCCAGCTCTATGAGAGGAAGGTCTCCTTTTAGAATCCTCATCAATGTGTACCGTGGATTTGGTCTTCTGTCTTCCGAGCCACAACAAGCCTTGGAAACTACTGTTAAAGTTCAGAGGACTTGGCAAATGCTGTCCTATCAAAAGTTCCTTCGCTTACATATTGACCTGATAACTCCTTACTATTTTGGCATATCTTTGATGCATTTAACATTTTTTTGTTATGTCTTTTGTTCAGTTTTTCGAGTTTTTATGAAATGTCTCCAGAGCAGATTGGGTGGGTCCAAATATTAAGTCCACACTTTTTGGACAATGTAATTTCCCGTAAGTTAATTGATTGATTGATTGATTGATTGGTGTATAAGCATCCCCCTTTCTCTGCAATCTCACCAGCATCTGTTATTTTTTGACTTTTAAAAAAATTTAGTTCAATAGTTTTTGGGGGAGCAGGTGGTTTCTGGTTACATAGATGAGTTCTTTAGTGATTTTTGAGATTTTGGTGTACCTGTCACACAAGCAGGGTACACTGTACCCAATGTGTAGTCTTTTGTCACTCACCCCCATCCACCCTTCCCCCTGAGGCCCCAAAGTTCCTTATATTATTCTTATGCTTTTGTGTCCTCATAGCTTAGTCCCACTGATAAGTAAGAACGTACCACATTTTGTTTTCCATTTTTGAGTTATTTAGGTTGGTACAAAGATAATTGCGGTTTTTGCCTCAATTTCAATGGCAAAACCACAATTGCTTTTCACCAACCTAATACTTCACTTAGAATAATGGTCTCCAACTCCATCTAGGTTACTGCAAAAGCAGTTATACACACACACACACACACACACACACACACACACACACACAGATATACCACATTTTCTTCATTTATTTGATAGATGGACATTTAGGCTGGTTCCATATTTTTGCAATTGCAAATTTTGCTGCTATAAACATGCATGTGCATGTTTATATAATGTGTCTTTTTCATATAATGACTTCTTTTCCTCTGGGTAGATACCCAGTAGCGGGATTGCTGGATTGAATGGTAGTTCTACTTTTAGTTCTTTAAGGAATCTCCATACTGTTTTCCGCAGTGGTTGGTTATACTACTTTACATTCCCACCAGCAGTGTAAAAGTGTTCCGTTTTCACCACATCCATGCCAACATCTATTTTTTTTTTTAATTATGGCCATTTTTGCAGGTGTAATGTTGTATCTCACTGTGGTTTTAATTTGCATTTCTCTGCAAATTCGTGATGTTGAGCATTTTTTCATATGTTTGTTGGCCATTTGTATATCTCCTTTTGAGAATTGTCTATTCATATTCTTTGACCACTTTTTGAGATTGTTGTTTTTCTTGCTGATTTGTTTGAGTTCCTTGTAGATTCTGGATATTAATCCTTTGTCAGATGCATAGTTTGTGAAGATTTTCTCCCACTCTGTGGGTTGTCTGTTCACTCTACTGATTATCTATTTTTCTGTGCAGAAGCTTTTTAGTTTAATTAGGTCCCATGTATTTATTTTTGTTTTGTTACATTTACTTTTGGGTTCTTGGCCATATCTCTTTGCCTAAGCCAATGTACAGAGAGTTTTTCCCATGCTATCTTCTAGAATTTTTATGGTTTCAGGTCTTAGATTTAGGTCTTTGATCCATCTTGAGTTGATTTTTATGTAAGCTGAGAGATGAGGATCCAGTTTCATTCTTCTACATGTGGCTTGCCAATTATCCCAATATCATTTGTTGAATTAGGTATCCTTTCCTCACTTAATGTTTTTTGTTTGCTTTGTTGAAGGTCAGTTAGCTATAAGTGTTTGACTTTATTTCCGGATTCTCTATTCTGTTCCATTGGTCTACATGCCTATTTTTTTAAATTTTTTTTTATTATACTTTAAGTTCTAGGGTACATGTGCACAACGTGCAGGTTTGTTACATATGTATATATGTGCCATTTTGGTGTGCTGCACCCATTAACTTGTCATTTACATTAGGTATATCTCCTAATGCTATCCCTCCCCCTTCCCCCCACCTCACGACAGGCCCTGGTGTGTGATGTTCCTTATCCTGTGTCCAAGTGTTTTCATTGTTCACTTTTACACTGTTGGTGGGACTGTAAACTAGTTCAACCATTGTGGAAGACAGTGTGGTGATTCCTTAAGGATCTAGAACTAGAAATACCATTTGACCCAGCCATCCCATTACTGGGTATATACCCAAAGGATTATAAATCATGCTATAAAGACACATGCACACGTATGTTTATTGTGGCACTATTCACAATAGCAAAGACTTGGAGCCAACCCAAATGTCCATCAATGATACATGCCTGTTTTTATACCAGTACCATGCTGTTTGGTTAACTATAGCCTTGTAGTTTCAAGTCGAGTAATGTGATGCCTCCAGATTTGTTCTTTTTGCTTAGTCTTGATTGACTAAGTGGGCTCTTTTTAGGTTCCATATGAATTTTAGGATTTTTTTTTCTAGTTCTGTGAAGAATGATGATGGTATTTGGATGGGAGTTGCATTGAATTGGTAGCTTGCTTTTGGCGATATGATCATTTTCACAATATTGATTCTACCCATCTATGAGCATGGGATGTACGTGTTACCATTTGTATAGTCAGTGATTTCTTTAATCAGTGTTTTGTAGTTTTTCTTATAGAGATCTGTCACCTCGTTTGTTAGGTATATTCCTAAGTATTTTATTTTATTTTTTTGCAGCCGTTGTAAAAGGGATTGAGTTCTTGATTTGATTCTCAGCTTGGTCGTTGTTGGTGGATAGCAGTGCTATCAATTTGTGTACATTGATTTTGTATTTTGAAACTTTACTGAATTCATTTATCAGGTCTAGGAGCTTTTTGCATGAGTCTTTAGGATTTTCTAGGTATATTATTATATCATCAGCAGACAGCGACAGTTTGACTTCCTCTTTACCAATTTGGATGCCCTTTCTTTCTTTCTCTTGTCTGATTGTTCTAGCTAGGACTTCCAGTATTATGTTGAATAGAAGTGGTGAAAGTGGGCATCCTTGTCTTGTTCCAGTTCTCAGAAGGAATGCTTTCAACTTTTCCTCATTCAGTGTAATCTTGGCTGTGGGTTTGTCATGGATGGCTTTGATTACATTAAGGTATGTCTCTTCTATGTTGATTTTGCTGAGGGTTTTAGTCATAAAGGGATGCTGGATTTTGTCAAATGCTTTTCCTGTGTCTATTAAGGTGATCATGTCATTTTTGTTTTTAATTCTGTTTATGTTGTGCATGACATTCATTGACTTGAGGATGTTAAACCATCCCTGCATCCCTGGTGTAAAACCCACTTGATCATGGTGGATTCTCTTTTTGACATGCTGTTGGATTTGGTTAGCTAGTATTTTGTTGAGAATTTTTGCATATATGTTCATTGGGGATATTGGTCTGCAGTTTTCTTTTTTTGTTATGTCCTTTCCTGATTTTGGTATTAGGGTGGTACTGGCTTCATAAAATGATTCAGTGAGGATTCCCCATTTCTGTATCTTTTGGAGTAGTTTCAGTAAGATTGGTACCAATTCTTCTTTCAATGTCTGATAGAATTCAGCTGTGAATCCATTTGGCCCTTGACTTTTTTTGTTGGCATTTTTTTTTATTACTGTTTAAATCTCACTACTTGTTATTGGTCTGTTTAGAGTTTCTGTTTCTTCCTGGTTTAATGTAGAAGGGATGTATATTTCCAGGAATTTATCCATCTCCTCTAGATTTTCTAGTTTAATGATCTTTTGTATTTCTGTGGTATTGGTTGTAATAGCTTCCATTTTGTTTCTAATTGAGCTTATTTGTATCTTCTCTTCTTTTTTTGGTTAATCTCACTAATAGTCTAAATAGTCTATCAATTTTATCTTTTCAAAGAACCAACATTTCATTTCATCTATCTCTCTCTCTCTCTCTCTCTCTATCTATAGCTGTTGTTGTTTCAGTTTCATTTAGTTCTTGTTTCATCTTTGTTATTTCTTTTCTTCTGCTTGGTTTGGGTTTGGTTTGTTCTTGTTTCTCTAGTTCCTTGAATGTGACCTTAGATTGTTTATTTGTGCTCTTCAGACTTTTTGATGTAGCCATTTAGTGCTATGAACTTTAGCCTCCTGAAACACTGCTTTTACCATATACCAGAGGTTTTGATAAGTTGTGTCACTATTGTTGTTCAGTTCAAAGAAATTTTTAATTTCCATCTTGATTTCAGTGTCGACCCAATGATCATTCAAGGGCAGATTATTTAATTTTTATGTATTTGTATAGTTTTGATGGTTTCTTTTGGAGTTACTTTCCATTTTTTTTTTTTTTTTGAGATGGAGTCTCACTCTGTCACCCAGGCTGGAGTGCAGTGGCGCTATCTTGGCTCACTGCAAGCTCCGCCTCCCAGGTTCATGCCATTCTCCTGCCTCAGCCTCCCGAGTAGCTGGGACTACAGGTGCCTGCCACCACGCCTGGCTAATTTTTTTTTGTATTTTTAGTAGAGACGGGGTTTCACCGTGTTAGCCAGAATGGTCTCGATCTCCTGACCTCGTGGTCTGCCTGCCTCGGCCTCCCAAAGTGCTGGAATTACAGGCGTGAGCCACCACACCTGGCCTACTTTCCACTTTTATTCCAGTGTGGTCTGAGAGGATACTTGATGTAATTTTGATTTTCTTAAATTTATTGAGACCTGTTTTATGGCGTATTATATTGTCTGTCTTGGAGAATGTTCCATGTGCTGATGAATAGAATGTATATTCTGCAGTTGTTAGGTAGAATGTTCTGTAAATATCTGTTAAGTCCTTTTGTTAGTTTAAGTGCATTGTTTCTGTGTTGACTTTCTGTCTTGATGATCTGTCTAGTGCTGTCAGTGGAGTATCAAAGCCCCCCACTATTATTATGTTGCTGTCAATCCCATTTTTTAGGTCTAATAGTAATTGTTTTATAAATTTGGGAGTTCCAGTGTTAGGCGCATATATATTTAGGATTGTGGTATTTTTGTGTTGGACTAATTCTGTTAGTTTTACTGGATACACAGTTCTTGGCTGACAATTATTTTGTTTCAGGAAGCTAAAGATAGGACCCCAGTCCCTCTGGCTTGTAAGGTTTCTGCTGAGAAATATACTGTTAATCTGATAGGTTTACCTGATGCTTTTGCCTCACAGCTCTTAAGATTCTTTCCTTTGTCTTGACTTTACTTGATGACTTTGTGCCTAGGTGATGATCTTTTTGTGATAATTTTCTCAGATATTCTTTGAGCTTCTTGTATTTGGATGTCTAGATCTCTAGCAAGGCCAGGGAAGTTTATCTCAGTTATTCCCTCAAATAAGTTTTCTAACTTTTAGATTTCTCTTCTTCCTCAGGAGCACCACTTATTCTTAGATTTGGCCATTTAACATAATCTCAAATTTCCTGGAGGGTTTGTTCATTTTTAAAATTCTTTTTTCTTGGTCTTTGTCTGATTGGGTTAATTTGAAAGCCTTGTCTTCCAGCTCTGAACTTCTTTCTTCTACTTGTTCTAGTCTATTGTGGAAACTTTCCAGTGCATTTTGTATTTGTATTTCTCTAAGTGTGTATTTTATTACTAGAAGTTGTGATTGTGATCTGTCTTCAGGTCCTGTGATCTGTCTTCAGGTCTCTCAGCTGTGGATACCAGCACCTGCTCTTGTGGAGGTGGCAGGGGAGTGAAGCAGACTCTGTGAGAGTCCTTGGTTGTAGATATGTTTAGTATGCTGGCTTTCTCAAATGCTGAATATACTAGCAGTGAAATTGTCACATGGACAGACTCAGGACCTCTGATTAGCCAGGATGTTGCAGGCAGTGGAATTAGCTGTTGTTTTCTCCTTCCTGGAAGCAAGGTTATTCTCTCCAGTAGTATTTCAGTGGGCCTCTTTTCCTGAAAATGTTGTAGCCCTCCCTTCAGCATCAGATAAAGACGCAGCGAAGATGACTATGGAGCCAGGTTTGATTAATTAGGAGTTATCTTGGCATTGAGTTCCACTTATTCCCAGACAGGCTTTCCTGCTTCTTGAATGGTATTACAGTTTGGTGTTCCTTTTTACTACCTTGTATTTATTATATTTTTTGATATATGCTCAATGTAACTGACATGTAAAATACAACCTTCCATAGTCTGCTCACTGATTGATTTCCTGCCCTATTCATTATAACCCTTTGGTCCTTTCAATGGCAATTTGGAAAGGATTGAATGTAGGTGTTAAACTATTATGTTTGTGATGCCACTCTGAGCAAGAATTTTGTGTATCCTGAAACTGTCTTTCAGTAAATGTTCATTTTGTTATGTTTTTATTCTGGGATTTACTATGCCCCTCAGGTATTTAGCAAGTATTTAGGAAAAAAATTTTGTTTTAATTTCAGCTTCTTCCCTTTGACTAACTTTTCCCCATCAGCATTTACACATGCTCAGGTCTCTTAAATTTAAAACTCTCATGACCCTCCACATCCTCTCTAGCTATCACCTACGACCCTCCCTCTTCACAGCCAAATTTGTCTCCATTTTTTTATGTCTCAAGTCTTGTCAAGTTTTCCCTGTATTATAAAATTGGAAACCAGCTTGTAAAGTTTCTTAAAAATTATTTTAGCTTTTGATTGGGAATATACCAAAATTATAGATAAATGTTGTAAGAACTGGTATTTCTAAAATACTGAATTTTCACATCTAAGAATACAGTTTGTTTCTCCATTTAATCAAGTTTCTTTTACGTCCTTAGGTAAAATTGAGTCCCTTTCTTCATATAGATTTTGCACATTTCTTGTAAGGTTTATTCCAAGGTATTGAATAATTTATCTTCTGCAGTTAATGCTTTTCCCTCTCAGTCTTTTCTAATTATTATTACTGGTTGGTAAAGGAGGCTATTGATCTTTGTAGACATGTCTCATATAATACCTACTTACTCAATACTTATAATTTCGAATAGTTTTCAGTTGATTGTATTGTATATTCTAGGGAGACAATCATATCGTTTGTAGGCCAGGAGCGGTGGCTTACACCTGTAATTTCAGCACTTTGGGAGGCCAAGGTGGGCAGATCACTTGAGGCCAGGAGTTTGAGACCAGTCTGGCCAACATGGCGAAACCCAGTTTACTAAAAATGCAAAAACTGGCGGGGTGTGGTGGTATGTGCCTGTAATCCTAGCTACTTGGGAGGCTGAGGCAGGAGAATTGCTGAACCTGGTAGGTGGAGGCTGCAGTGAGCCTAGATCCTGGACTGCACTCCAGCCTGGGTGAGAGAGTGAGACTGTGTCTCAAAATAAATAAATAAAAATAAACCCATTTTTATTAGTAGCAGTAATAATGAGAATCCTTATTAACTTTACTGCAGTTGTTTAGTGGGATTGCTTTTGATATTTAACATGAGGCATGTTATTTGCTGTGGGGTTTGTTAAGAGAATTTTACTTTATTCCTAGTTTACTAAAAATACTGGGGCTTTTGTTTGTTTTTACCAGGAATATTAACAATGTTCAGTTGTTGAACATTAACAACTGCTTAAGGGACATCTCTCAATCAGGTTATATGTTTTCCTTCAAACCAATGATGTAGAAATGTCTTCAGATAAACCTACAGAGTCACGATGTGTTATTTTTTAATGTAGCACTAGATTCAGTTTTCTAAGATTGATTTATATTTTTTTCATCTGTGGTCATAACTGAGATTAGTCTGTAGTTTGTGTTTATGTTTTTTCTTTTACTTTTCTAGTTTAGCTATTAGGGTAGGTTAGCCTGGTATAATGTTACTATTTTGCTGTAAGTCTGTGCGTTACTTGAAGATAATATGATTTTCATTATAATACTTCAGATAACCAATAGAAAAACTCTAGTATTTGAATTAATGAGAGAATTAGGCAAGATTGCTAGATATTAACTTGTAAAAATAAATGTCATTCCTCTAAATGGGCAATTACTATTTGTAGGAAATAGAAAATGAGATAATATTACAATAATGGCAAAAAGTGTAAATTACATGGAAACTAACTTAAAGTTTTTCTAAGACCTTTAAATAGAAAAATACTAAAAGCTATATGAGGATCTAAAGAAAACTTCATATGCCATGTTTAAAGGCAGACTGACTTAAGATTTGTAGAGGTTCAAATTTCTTCAAGTAAACATATAAATAAAATAAAATTTGAACAAAAATCTAGCAAGTTTTTTGAGAAAAAACATATATTTCTCAAAATATAGAGTCTCTATATATGAATGTCTTCTCAGTTTTAGATTTTGCAGATATCTTCTTCCAATTGATAATTCATCTGTGTCCTCTTTCTGTGATAACCTTGACTAAAAAGTAATCCTTAATTTTGATGAAAGATATCAGTGCTTTATTGTCTGATTTAAAAAGCATTTTTCCTTCAAAGATACAAGGATATTAACCTATATTTTCTTCTATTAGAAAATATATATGAAATAATACGAAAAGAACAAAAGGAAAGCTCATTCTACCAGACTTTAAGACCGATTACATAGCCAAGTAAGGTGAGAATGACAAAAGTACAATGGAACAGAGTACAAAGCCCAGAAATAGATTATAGATTTGTGTGTATTTAACTTCTTATATAATACAAGTAGCAGTGAGGGAAATAATTGTTCAATAGATTTTGTTGGGGAAACTGGCTTGTTCTATTGTGAAAAACAGAATTAGATCACTATCTTATATCATAAGCAAAGGTAAATTTAAGACCATGTAAGTTGAAGACCAATAGGTAAATAGTTAAATTATGAAATTAGTTGACAAGGGATTAATATCTGTAATATATGTACAATTCTATATAAATCAAAGTAAATAGAAAGAAATGGGCAAAGGAGAGCTATTTACAGAAAGGAAACACTGAATGGATAACAAGTATATGACGAGATGCTTAGTTTCACTTGTAAATAGAGAAATACAAATGAAAACCATGAAATACCAACTCGTACTAACAAAAATTAGAAGGTTAAATGTGGTAAACAAGAACCTTCATGCTCTGCTGGTGGGAATATAAACTAGTACGGTTATTCTGGAGAGAAATCTGGCAGCATATGGGGAAATTAAAAGGGTGTATAGGCTGGGCGTGGTGGCTCATGCCTGAAATCTCAACACTTCCAGAGGCTGAGACAGGCGGATCGCCTGAGCCCAGGAGTTTGAGTCCAGCCTGGGTAACATGGCGAAACCCTGTCTCTACTAAAAAGAAAAGGAATAGCCAGGTGTAGTGTTGTGCACCTGTAGGCTCAGCTACCAGGGAGGCTGAAGTGGGAGAATTGCTTGAGCCTCAGAGGTTGAGGCTGCAGTGAGCTGTGATCACACCACTGCACTCCACCCTGAGTGCGAGAGTAAGACCCCCCTCTCTCTAAAAAAAAGGTGTATATTCTATAATCCAGCAACCCTGATCTTGGAACTTAACTGAAGAGACTCTCCCATGGGTTTAATGAAGAGAAATGTAAAAGAATACATGTCACTGCATTTTGGGTGGGGGACATTAAATTGTAAGCCCATTGTCATACCTTAAAACTAGTCATTGCATTTTAATGCAATCCCTCCATTACCTCTACTCCTACTTTTTGCTCTCAAACAAGAAGCTACCACCTTATGCTTCATCTTTTAGGCACCATCTTTATTGCAACCAGGAATCCATTTAAACCTACCATTTTTCATAAAACCTTCCTTTCTTCATGTCTTCACTTCTTTCCTACCCAGGTTACATTTTATGGTTCAACTTAATCACTTCATTAACTCCTTTGTCTCTCTCTTGCTCTGATATTTTCACCTGGCAAAACCCCAACCCTGTTAGATCTAACTCTCCACACTTCACAACTATACCAAGGGAGATAAATATGGTTAGGGAAATTTTCAAAACACTGCTGTCTGGTATCACTTTAAATTTATGGTCATATATATCAAGTAGATTCTTAGTGCTGCCAGCAAACAATGTGTTGCCAAATCTGTTCATCCTCCTACTTTTCAGAATCAATGAATGTGTTATACACAGAGCAATATGGGAAGATAATTAAAACAATGTTGATTGAAAAATAAGAGAGTGAAATCTACAATAAAATATCCTTTAGGTAAATTTAAAATGCATATTGCAAAACAACACTAAAGTATATATAAAATGTTCCCATTTTTCATGAATACATACATGTTTAAGACCTTATGGAATGCATTTAACTGGGTGCCCATGAAGGGAAATGGAATACAAACCATATGAGATAATAGGAAAAGAACAAAAGGAAAGCTCATTCTGCCAGACTTTAAGACTGATTACATAGCCAAGTAAGGTGAGAATGACAAAAGAACAATGGAACAGAGTACAAAGGGTGGATGGGAAATTAAGAGAAAAAAGAAATAGACTAAACTATAATAAGAGAAGTGCCTTGCACAGACTAATAGTGACCTGTGGAGTATGATCGATTTCATTCCCTGCACCTGGAGTTTAGTTTTTATATTGAATAAAAGAAAACAGACAAGCAAATGATCTGTCCAGAGAGAGCAAGGGCAGCTAGTCGGGTGTGGCACTTCAGAATAAAGTTGTCTTCATCCTACTATGTAAGAATTCTCCAGCATAAAGTTTCATCTCCTGCCTTCTTACTCTCAAGTAGATATTTTCAGTTCTGATGTCAATAAGAAGCAGATAGGTCACACATATACACATGTGTAAAATGGGCTTCAAGCAGAATAGCTACCAACTGGTCTGCTGACATTTGTCAATGTGGGCCTAGTATTGCTAGAACATTTACAGTTATTTTTAAAAAGAAATCAGAAATATAAATTTTATGTGAGACTTCCCAGTTTTAGATTATTTGCAATCTAATTTATAAAGTTCAAATCACTACATGAGTCCTGATTAGGCTCATGGGCCAATAATTTGGTATATATGAACAGATGTGAAGCCTGCCAGTTGCTAAATTCCACTTATTTACACAGAGCTCGTCAATACTACTCCCTTATTCTTAAATATGAATGGGCAACTGTGAGCCATTATATATTTAAGGAATGCCTGTAGCATGACTAAGGTATACATATTGAAAAAAGCAATCTCTTGGGAAACAGAGATAATTCTGGAAACAGAAAAGAAGTTTAACTATCACATATCATAGTAATCTGCTTTCCAAGTCTAATAACTATTTCTGAGTTCCTACACTGACTTTTAGGAGGTCAAAAATTAGTCTCCTTATTGTCCAGCTGGGCTTTTTGGACATTAGATATTTATTCTAGACTGTAACTCACGTTGTAAAATACTACTGTGTTCATGGATTAGTTACTTTTGACTTTTTTTCTCCATACTGTCTTCAGAATAAGATAAATGTCACTACATCACCAGAGTTCTCAGGTGGCTGGCAGAATGATGACAAATTTAATTATCGCAAGAAACACCGCTGTATTGGTGCTGTACATTGTTCTTGAGAAGGTGTATCGGTCTCTCCAGACCCAAATCCAGATTTGATAACAGGAAATCATCAACTGCATTATGTTACCCTATTAACTCTAAATAAAATATCATGATATTTTAAAATAAAATCATGATTTTAAATCATGATTTTTTAAAAAAACATTATATTTTAAAATAAAATATATAAATATTTTATTTATATTAAAATAAAACTAAATAAAAATATTATGATATTTTTAGTTACATAAAAAGAAAGTGTCAATTCCTTCATCTCTTTTTTTTTTTAGAGTAATAAGACAGAAGAAGCCCAAGAGCAAATATTTTATTATAATGGGCTATATGCTTTTAAGGGATAAAAAGAGGGAATTACAGACATCCTTCGTTTGAACTTCAGTCTTACCAGGGATTTTAAGATTGATGAATTCTGACCTTTTAGTAGAAAAGTAAAATAAAAATTTGCTTGGAAATCTTGGCCATTTATTAAAGTTTTGTGCCTTTGATAATTTTTTTGTTGACTAAAGTTTACATTCTCCATTCAGAACTGTTTGCCACTTGCCATAGAGTTTTGTTTTTTCATTTGTTTAACTGAAATATACTGAGCAACTGCCAAAGCGCAAGACCTGGGATGGGGTGGAGGAGGGATACAAAGATCAGTCAGATGTAGGCTGTGCTGTAAAAATGCTCATGCTCACCATGCTGAAAACTGCTGGTAATTTGCATTAGGTCCAAAAAGAATGTTGTATTATACTTTGCCCAAAATAGAATAATTGCAGGATCTGGAGTCAGACTGCCAAAGTTCAAATCAGCTGTGCAACTTAATAGTGGTGTGACCTTGGATCAATTTCTTACATTTTCTGTTTCTCTGTTCTCTTATCTGTACAGTTGCAGTAAAAAAAATAGTGCAGACATAGATTGTTGTGAAGATTTAATGCAATACTACTTGTACAAGGGAGGCGAATTGCCTCTGGATTCTCACATTATATAGAAATTTGGGGATTTAATTCTTGTAATTATCTTTGAAATAGATTTTATTATGTCTGGCGATTAAAAAAAACAAAGGTTTTTTTAAAGAGTGAATAACATTTTTAAAAATTCATAGACAATACCAGAGCCAAAACTGAATCCTTATTCAATTTTTACATTGCAAACAGGGTTATAGAATTTTCTGAGAGAGTCACATTTTCAGATATTCTGTGTCATTATACCACAGTGTCCCAATTTTGGGTCTGTAAACCATAATCTCTATAATCCTCACTGCCTCTTATGAATTTGGAGTCTGAAATGCCTGGCATTTTCAAGCCCCAAGCCCCAAAAAGCAATCAGAGAAGGAGAAAGGAGCAACTCCTGTTTCAGGGAAAATTAAGAGATTTTGGAAGACCATGTTCTTCTTGTTTCTTCCCTTCAACCCACAAGCCTGGTCTTGCACAGTGATGCCACTTGGTATGATTTAAGGAAAATCTCCCTGCATCAGCCTACTTTCCTGAGAGGTTCATTGAACAAACACCCAGAAAGGCATAAAATGGCTATTAGGAACTAACACACTAGTGTGGCTTCATTTAATCAGCTTGCTTTCCTAATGCAAAGTAAAGTCCAACGGAAAGAGCAGTAGGAATTGTGTCGAGTTAAGGCACAGGATAAGAATGAAGTGAGGAAGATAACAACATTATTGAATGCCAGAATAAAAGCTACAGATGCATAGTGGATCAGCAGAAAGGAGTAGAGGGCATAGTAACGTTGAAAGAGGCATCAATGGGGAAATAAAAGGGCAGAGATTGAGAGACCATATATAAGAATGTATGTTATAAACAGGTGGAGATGTGAGAAAAATCCTTTCTACTCGAAGTGTGGTCCTCAGATCAGCAGTGATGTATCAGCTGGAGCTTGTTAGAAATGCAGGATCTCAGACTCCACCTATAATTAAAATGCATTTAACAAGATCCCCACTTGATTTCAGTGCACATTAAACTTTGAGGAGGGTGCATCAAAGGTACACACATGGATGATGAGAAAACCTTGCAGATGGGTGGTGGAGGGAGCAGCTTGATGGATGAGATGAAGACATATATATATATATATATATATATACACAAAAATGTGCCAGGAGGAAGGTGGTCATGGAGTAGTTTGTGGGTAGTTTAGCTGATTATGAATTATATATTAGTTTCCACTCATGCTTTCAGAGCCTCAATGGTATGAGACAAAGCATGAGAGTGTTAAGGAATGGAGTGGGAGATTCCTAAAAGATTCTGATGTTATTAGGAATTGGTTTTAATTTTAGGCTTTTGTCACTGAATGTACATTTTTCTTCCCTTTTGTTTGTTTGGCTATTTTTAATTGAGAAAGCTGTATTGTGGGGAGCTATTCAAAAGTGACTTAAAGCAAGAAGTCACTCCCATAAGCTTGGCTTCTGAACATTCTTGCTTCTTCCTCTCATTCTTCAATCATTTTCTCATAGGCTGTTTTGCAAGTCTTCAAGTCTTCTAGGCATCCCTTGGATGTTTTTGTTTTCAGGATCTGTTCTCGGCTGTCTCTTCTCTTTTCACAGAACAAAATTCTCTAGGTTGTATAATCGATTATTGCAGTTTCCACTACCACTAATACACTAGTGACTTTCAGAGTTTTATCTTCAGTCTTGTTCAATTGGGAGCGTCAGACCTACTGCTCAGTTCATATATCTTACTGGATATACAACAGGCAACTCACATGGTTATGGACTGAATGTCTGTGTCCTTCCGAAATTCATACATTGAAAAATCCCAACCCCCAGTGCAGTGGTACTGGGGGAGGGTCTTTGGGAGGTAATTAGGTCATGAGGGTGAGGCCCTCAAGAGTGGGATTAGTACCCTCATTAGAAGATACACAAGGGAGGTGATACCTATTTCTGCTATTTGAGGATATAATTAGAAGATGGGCATTTGTAAACCTGGAACAGGGCCTTCACCAGAACCCAACTATACTGGCACTCTGATCTTAGACTTCCAGTCTCCAGAACTGTGAGAAATGAATGTTTATTCTTCAAGCCACCTAGTCGATGGTAATTTGTTATAGCAGCCTGAGCTGGCTAAGAGAGAGACTCAAGAAGTCACAAGCTGAATTCATCATCTTCTTTCTAAAACACCCTCTCTATACTCTACCAGTGAATGTTACTACCATGATCTCAGTCTCCTATGCAGGGATCATAGATGTCCCTGTATGTTTCAAGTTTTTCCACGTTCTCCATCTCTAATTATCATTAAAACATATTGATTCTATCTCCTTAACACTTCTGCATCCACCTTCTTATTTCCATTCACATGGCTATTGCCTTGGTTCAGTGCCTTCTAGATCCCTTCCCTGATATATCACAGCAGTCTTTTAACTATTTGCCACCTTCAGTGTAGCCCCATTTCAATTTTAATCTCAATGCTTCAGACAAAGTGGCATTTTAAAAACTCACATTTAGAACTAAAATATCTCTCATGTTAAAACTAGACAATAGCTCCCCATTAACTATTGAATAACTTTTAAACATTTTTGTAAATAATGTATAAAGCTTGTATCCTGCATATTGTACAGCTTTATCTCTCATTGCAGTTCTCTCTGCAGGTTTTGTCTTCTGCTTAAAATTTTCTGAATAGAAAAATCTGTTTCATACCTCCATATCTTTGTTCGTGCTGTGCACTCTACCTGTACCTTCTCTGTCTCTTCTCTTTGCCAGATATAATTTTAAGGGCTGAACAGTGATTAGCTTATACATAAAGTCTTTCCTAACCACCCCCTCCATCTTTTGTATGTACACTGAACCTTATGCAGCCTTGGATTATCACTCACATGTTCCACCAACACGGCAGTTCTAAGGCCCTGGTCTGTTTACATTATTGTTCTTACTCTTCTGATGCTTAATTGCAAAAATGTCTATTCCTGCGAGACTGCAAGGCCTGGGTGGAGGAGGCATTTAGGGCCTAGGAGACAGCATTGGCTAATGGATCCTGTGGGGCTGGAGCTAAAAAGGCATTGTTTATAAATAAAGGAAATGGCCAAAAGTAACGGGAGCCAAGTTTCTCACTGTAAGAGAAAGGATATTCAATAATTTAAAGGGTGAAAATTAGAACAGAATGGTGTTCCATCAGAATTGGAGATACCAGTATGATGAACTCTTGAGAGAGATATATATTTATATTATACACACACACAAACACACACACACACGAGAGAGAGAGTGAAAGAAAGGAAAAGGACATAGCCCTGTATGTGCATGTGTAGATAGATACATGTGTGTGTGTGTACATTTTCTATATTTTCTAGCTTTTTCTGCTGAGACAGCCTAAAAGCAATGGAGCCCCAGCAGCAAAGAACACACATAGTGTCCAGATCTGGACTTATATATGTATGTTTCTCCAATAAGAGAAACAAAGACTTTTTAGAGAAATGTTTAATTCCAGGGCTGGGGCAAGGAAAGTACAAGATGAGCCCAAAATATCTTGATTTGTCATAAAACAAGAGAATGATTAAAAACAATGTGGACTTATCAAAATGACACAGTAAGCAGCCAGAAGGACCACTGGGAGAGTTTCAGCATCAAAATAAATAAAGATAGTAATGAATTATAACCTATTGATTAAAATAAGGATCAGTGAGTCCATAGTGAGATAAATGATTAAAGAAATATGGGAGAAGCAAAAGCTCTTTCTTACAGTACAGAATCAACTAGTAAATGTAGAAGGAATGATAGAAAGTTAGGAAGTCATTATTAGCAAACATCATAGTAATTATTTAGGCATGAATCATCAATAGAGTATAAAACTAGTGGGTAAAAGTTTGATGAGGAATAAGATATTAATGTAATATCAAAGGATCTCTCCACAAAATACTTAATTGTAAAGGGAAGACTACAAATTTATAGTGAAGAAATTTGGCAAGCACCACCTTTATCTAGTGATAAAAATTAACATCATTTAGAATGATACAAATCAACATTGTCTTCTTGTTATGATCTGCTGAGAAGAACATAGCATCATTTCTGTGATGTTCCTGCCATAAATGCATAACCTGAATCTAATATTGAAGCAGCATTATTAAACTCAAGTTGAGGGGAATTCTACAAAATAGCTAGCTTGTACTATTCAAAAATGTCAACATCATGAACGAGAAAAGACAGAAACTGTTTCAGACGGAAGAAAATGAAAAGTGACAACGGTAGCATTTTATCTCAGGCAGAACTTGAACCAGAATATTCTTGTACTTTCCTTTGCTATAATGTACAATATTGGGACTATTTGTGAAATTTGAATGGAATTTGTGAATTTTATGGTCTCAATGTTCATTTTCTCAATTTTGTACTTATATAGGAGAGTGTCCTTTTCTTAGAGATATAGGCATAATGGATTATCATGGCTTCCACTTATTTTCAACTGGTTTGGGGGGAAAATGTGTGTGTGTGGATAAAGGCAGGGTGGAGTGGGGAGAGAGAATGGCAAAGAAATTGTGTCAAATGTTAACAATTGGGAACCCTGACAAGGCATACTGAAATTCTTTTTACTCATCTTACAACCTTTCTCTAACTTTGAAATTATTATAAAATAAAATGTTTTTAATCACTATTTCTTTGCCACTTTTTGTACTTCAATTTTCTTTCCCAACTTCAACTACCTTCTAGTGATCTTCAAAGGCTCATGGAAATAAATTTATAAAATACAGAAATGAATTCATTAAAATAAGAAGTGTAACATGGTGTTTAAGCTTTTGTGCTCTTGAATCAAACTTCCTGAGTTCAAAATTCCAACCCATATGTGGTTTTAAGGCAAATCACTTAACTTCTCCATGTCTATTTTCTCATCTGTACAATAGGAATGATAAAAAAAAAAAAAAGCTCACTTTATGATTGGGGAGAATTAAGTCATTCAGCATATTTAAAACACATAGCACAGTGCCCAGCACATGGTAAATAATTAATGTATATTCAAAAAATTTTGAAGGACTTATTGAGAAAGATTACTGCAGAAAAAAGCTGATTTGTGTAGCATTTTGTTTACTAGAATCTCTGTAGAACCTGAGTGGCTGACAATCCTAAAGAACCTCCATATCCACATAATAATAATTTAATATCTGCAAGCCATGAAAATCTGAGCAGAAGACTGAGGAATCAATCCACGTGAGAATTTTAATTATAAGAATGAGTGGGTTTTCTTATTAACATACTTAAAAACCACTGCCACCACTGCCCAGATTCATCAGACAGTAGGGAGGATGGGGAAGCATAAGGCAGCTACTTTTACTGAGATTCAGAACGGAACAAACCCTGGATACTGCAGGCAATGCCCAATAGTTTTTCCATGAGCTATTTAAAAACTGGAGAAGTATTGGATTTTATGAGGTCAGTCAGTGAAGCAGAAAAAGCTCAGTTTGCCTGTGATGCTCCTGGAATACAAGTAATATATCTGCATTGCAGCAGAGGAGCAATGTAGGGAAGGAAATGTAAGAAAACTGGGTGAAGAGAAACACAATTAAAATCACATGCTCCAAGCTCTCAGTCTAAAATAAAATCCTTCTCAAGTTATTGTCTTTGAAGGACATTATGGCAGTCAAGAGCACTGGTTTTATAGCCAGACAGATCTAAATGTGAATCTTGGCTTTGTCACTTGATGCTCAACAGTTAATCTTGAATAAGTTACAGAACCTCTCGAAGACTTAGATACCTGAAATAGAAAATGGGATGATAGAACTTGCCTCAGAGTTTTATGTGAGCACCAAATGAGGTAATATTAAAATGACTGTCACACGTGTTCAGTACACATATTTATTGCTCCTTTTCTGACAGAAAGCATGAAGCAACAAGAAAAAAAGACAAATTTGGGAAGAAAAAGTTTTTATTTATTTTTCACTATTAAGTTAATATTCTTGTAGTTTTTTGTTAACTTTTTATTTAGAGATATACATTATTAATATAATACATTAAGAAATAAGAAAATATTAAATTATTAAGAAATAATACAGAAATATTCCAGTTTGAAGAACCTTTATTCAATTTAGTCAGTTTAGAGTAACCCTCATTAAACTCTTCCAAGCACGAATCTCCTCCATTTCTATAATTTTGTATTTTTAAGAATGTTATATAAATGGAGTGATGCAGTGTGTAACCTTTAAAGATTGGCTGTTGTTTTTTTAAACTCAACAAAATTCTCTGGAGATGCATTCAGGTTTTTGCATGTTTTAATAGTTTGTATCTTTTTATTGCTGATTAGCATTGCAAGGTATAGATGCATCACTATTTTTTGTTGTTGTTGTTGTTTTAGACAGTGTCTCACTCTGTCGCCCAGTCTGGAGTGCAGTGGCTTGATCTTGGCTCACTGTACCCTTGCCTCCAGGATTCAAGTGTTTCTCATGCCTCAGCCTCACAAGTAGCTGGGACCACAGGTGCCCACCAACATGCCCAGCTAATTTTTGTATTTTTAGTAGAGACAGGGTTTCACCACGTTGGCCAGGCTGGTCTCAAACTCCTGGCCTCAAGTGATCTGCCCACCTCGGCCTCCCACAGTGCTGGGATTACAGGCGCAAGCCACTGAGCCCAGCCAGATGCATCACAGTTTAATCATTCACTCCTTGTTTTTTTTTTCCAGTTTTTTAGTGTAATGAATAAATCAGCTATAAATATTTGTTCACAGGTTTTTGGGTGAACATAAGTTTTCATTTCTCTGGGATAAATGCCCAGGATCATAAATTGCTGGATCATATGGTAGTTGCATGCATAGCTTTTTTAAAACACTGCCAAATTGTTTTCCACACAGGCCGTACCATTTTACATTCACACCAGCAATGTAAGAGTAAGCCATTTTCTCTAAAAGCTTGCCAGCATTTGGTGTTGTCACTATTTTTAATTTTAACCATTCTGATAGATGTGTAAGGAGGTCTCATTTGTGGTTTTAATTTGCATTTCCTGAGTGGCTAATGATGTTGAACATCTTTTCATGTGCCTATTTGACATATGCGCATGCCAGAGGATAACTACGCATATCTGCTGGTGAAATGTCTCTTCATATCCTTTTCCTACTTTGTAATTGAGTTGTTTATTACTGGTTAGTTTTGAGAGTTCCTTATATATTCTAAATATTAGTAATTTGTTAGATATGTGGTTTGCAAATATTTTATTCCACCCTGTAGCTTGCCTTTTCATTCTCTTAAGTGTTTTTCACAGAGACAAGGTTTCAATTTTTGCTGTTCCATTTATCAGTTTTTCCTTTTATGAATCAGTGTATCAAGTCAAGGAAATCTTTGCTTAACTGTGATTCCTTAAGATATTTTCCTAGGTTTTTTCTAAAGTTATCATAAGTGTTACATTTTACATTTATGGGCATAATTTATATTCATTTTGGGTTAATTTTGGATAAGGTGTAAAACAGGTTGAGGGGTGTGTGTGTGTGTGTGCACACACGCACGTGTGGCTACTTTTGGTCTATGGATGTCCAGTTGTTGCAGCACCATTTGTTGAAAAGGCAATCTTTCCTTTATTAAATTACCTTTATTTCCTGTGAACTTTTGTCAAAAATCTATTGAACATTTTTTAGCACATTTCTGAATTCTCTATTGTGTCCCATTGTTCTACTGATCTATTCCTCCACTAGTACTACATAGTCTTGTTTACTCTAACTATACAATAAGTCTTGAAATCATATAGACCAATTCTTTCTGATTTTTGTTTTTAATTTTTTTTTTTTTTTAGCTTTTTTAGTTCCTTCACCTTTCCATATAAATTTTAGGATTGTCTATCTCATCTGTATATGAAAAATCTTACTGGGAAATTGATAGGAGTTGTGTTAAACCTGCATATGAATATGGGAAGAATTGGCATCTTTACTGTTTTGAGTTTTCCAATCTGTTAAACCAGTATGTCTCTCATTTCTTTTGATCTTTGATTTCTTTCACCAGCATTTTGTAGTTTTCAGCATCCAAATCTTGTACATTTTTTTAGATTTATACCTGTGTCATTTTTCAAGTGATTATACATGGTACTGTATTTTTAATTTCATTTTCCATGTGATCATTACTAATGAATAATATTTGTATATTAATCTTGTATCTCATTACCTTGCTGAACACACTTACTAGTTCTAGGAATTTTGAGGGTTTTTTTTTTTTTGTAGATTCCTTGATATTTTCTATCTAGACAATCATTTCATTTGCAAACAGGGGCAGTTTTATTTCTTCCTTTTCTGTTTGCCTTTCGTTTCTTTTTCTTGTCTTATTGCACTGGATGGAACTTCCAGCATTATTTTGAATAAGAGTGGTGAATGCCTTGTTCCCAACCTTAATGGAAAAGCATCTTTCTCCATTAAAGATAATGGTATTATAGGTATTGTGTAGATGTTCTATCAAGCTGAAGGTATTTCCTTCTACTCCTATGCTTCTGAGAGTTTTTACAATGAATGGGTGAAGAATTTTATTAAATGTCTTTTCTGCACTGGTTGCTATGTTCATGTGGTTTTGCTTTTATAGTCTGTTAAAATAGTGAATTATATTGGTTGATTTTTAATTATTGAGCCAGCCTTGCATTTTTGGAATCATTTCAACTTGGTCATGGTGTATAATTCTTTTTACATATTGCTGAATTGTATTTGCTAATATTTTAAGGACTTTCTCACTTATATTCATGAGGGTTATTGTTCTTTAACTTCTTTTTCAATATACTGTCTTGTTTTGATATCATGGTAATATTACTTCATAAAATAAATTGGGAAACGATCCCTCATCTTCTATTTTTTGGAAGCACTTATGTAGAATTTATGTTAATTATTCTTCTAATGTTTGGTAAAATTCTCTGGAGAAACCATCTGAGTCTGTAGATATATTTTGGGGGAGTTTTTAAAATTCAATTTTATTGTTATAGAATTAGATTATCTCTTTTATATTGGGTGAATTGTGGTACTTTGTGTTTTTTGAGGAACTAGCTCATTTCATCCAAGTTGGCACATTTATGGTTTCAGTAATGTTGATACTATTTCCTTACAATCCTTTTTATGTCTGCAGGGTCTATAGTGATATCCTCTGTTTCATTCCATATATTGGTAATTCGTATTCTCTTTCCCTCTTTCTTAATATCAATTTTGTTAAAGGTTTGCCAATTTCATTATCTCCCCACCTTCGTCCGAATGATTTTTCTCTTTTTTTCTGTTTTCAGTTTTATTGATTTCCATTTTTATCTTCATTACTTCATTTCTTCACTTGCTTTGGATTTATTTTGTTTCCCTTTTTCTAGGTTCTTGAGGTGGCAACTTAGATGATCACTTTGAGACTTTTCTTCTTTTCTAATGTATGCATTTCTTTCTTAACATTGCGTTAGCTGTGTTCTAAAAGTTTTGATATGTTGTATTTTCCTTTTTATTCAATGAGATATTTTTTTAAATTTCCTTTGAGACATTCTCTTAAGACCAATAGGTTATATAGAAGTGTATTTATATTTTCCAAATTATTTGGACATTCTTCTGTTATGTTTCTGCTTTTGATTCCCAGTTTGATTATATTGACCACACTATCTAGAATTTCATTTATTTTAATTTTGTTGAGGTTTGCTTTATGGACCAGGGTATGGCCTATCTTGGTATATGTTCTGTGGGCACTTGGAACAAAAATACGTTCTGCTGGTTTTAGGTGTAGTGTTCTATAAGTGCTGATTAAATCCTGTTGGCTGATAATGTTGTTGAGTTATTCATATCTTTGGTGATTTTATGTCTAGTTGTTCAATACATTGTTGAGAGAGGTCTCCACATGTAACTGTGGATTTGTCATTTTCTTGTTTCTGTTATATCAGTTTTTGCTTTGTATATTTTACAGCTCTTTTTTTTAGGATATAAACATTTAGGATTACTATATGTCTTTTTGGTGCATTGACCTTTGTACCTCCCTGTCACTGGTAGTTTTCTTTGTTCTAAAATATATTTTATCTGACAATATTGCCACTCCTGCTTTCTTTAATGTTTGCACAATATCTATTTTTTGATCCTTTTACTCTCACTCTATCTATATGCAATATATGAAGTGAGTTTCTTTTACACAGCATATAATCAGGTTGTGCTTTTTAATTTCACTTTGCCCATCTCTGTTTTTCAATTAGTGAATTTAGATAACATATAATTATTGATAATGCTATGGTTTAAGTGCACCCATTTTTCTTTGTTTTCTGTTTTTTTCCCTTTATTTTCTTTTTCTTGTCTTCTTGTGGTTTACTTGAAATATTTTAGAATTCCATTTTGATGTATCTGTAATGTTTTTTAATGTATCTCTTTATATAGCTTTTTTATTGCATGCTCTAGATATCACCTGATATCTATCTGTATTTATAGCTGTCTATATCTATGTCTTTGTATATCACTTATCCTAGTCTACTGGTATCATTTTACCAGTTTGCATGAAATGTAGAAAATTTATTTTCTATTACATCCCTTTCTACTCCCCCATTTATATATATATATATATATATATATATATATATATATATATATATATATATATATATAATTTTTTATTATACTTTAAGTTCTAGGGTATATGTGCACAATGTGCAGGTTTGTTACATATGTATACATGTGCCATGTTGGTGTGCTGCACCCATTAACTCGTCATTTACATTAGGTATACCTCCTAATGCTATCCCTCCCCACTCCCCCCGCCGACAACAGGCCCCGGTATGTGATGTTCCCCTTCCTGTGTCCAAGTGTTCTCCTTGTTCAGTTCCCACCTATGAGTGTGAACATGTGGTGTTTGGTTTTTTGTCCTTGCGATAGTTTGCTGAGAATGATGGTTTCCAGCTTCATCCATGTCCCTACAAAGAACATGAACTCATCATTTTTTATGGCTGCATAGTATTCCATGGTGTATATGTGCCACATTTTCTTAATCCAGTCTATCATTGTTGGACATTTGGGTTGGTTCCAAGTCTTTGCTATTGTGAGTAGTGCTGCCATAAACATACTTTTGCATGTGTCTTTATAGCAGCATGATTTATGTTCCTTTGGGTATATACCCAGTAATGGGATGGCTGGGTCAAATGGTATTTCTAGTTCTAGATCCCTGAGGAATCACCACACTGTCTTCCACAATGGTTGAACTAGTTTACAGTCCCACCAACAGTGTAAAAATGTTCCTATTTCTCCACATCCTCTCCAGCACCTGTTGTTTCCTGACTTTTTAATGATCGCCATTCTAACTGGTGTGAGATGGTATCTCATTGTGGTTTTGGTTCACATTTCTCTGATGGCCAGTGATGATGAGCATTTTTTCATGTGTCTGTTGGCTGCATAAATGTCTTCTTTTGAGAAGTGTCTGTTCATATCCTTCGCCTACTTGTTGATGGGGTTGTTTGTTTTTTTCTTGTAAATTTGTTTGAGTTCTTTGTAGATTCTGGATATTAGCTGTTTGTCAGATGAGTAGATTGCAAAAATTTTCTCCCATTCTGTAGGTTGCCTGTTCACTCTGATGGTAGTTTCTTTTGCTGTGCAGAAGCTCTTTACTTTAATTAGATCCCATTTGTCAATTTTGGCTTTTGTTGCCATTGCTTTTGGTGTTTTAGACATGAAGTCCTTGCCCATGCCTATGTCCTGAATGGTATTGCCTAGGTTTTCTTCTAGGGTTTTTATGGTTTTAGGTCTAACATTTAAGTCTTTAATCCATCTTGAATTAATTTTTGTATAAGGTGTAAGGAAGGGATCCAGTTTCAGCTTTCTTCATATGGCTAGCCAGTTTTCCCAGCACCATTTGTTAAATAGGGAGTCCTTTCCCCATTTCTTGTTTTTGTCAGGTCTGTCAAAGATCAGATGGTTGTAGATGTGTGGTATTATTTCTGAGGGCTCTGTTCTGTTCCATTGGTCTATATCTCTGTTTTGGTACCAGTACCATTCTCTTTTGCTACTAGTACCATGCTGTTTTGGTTACTGTAGCCTTGTAGTATAGTTTGAAGTCAGGTAGCTTGATGCCTCCAGCTTTGTTCTTTTGGCTTAGGATTGACTTGACAATGCGGGCTCTTTTTTGGTTCCATATGAACTTTAAAGTAGTTTTTTCCAATTCTGTGAAGAAAGTCATTGGTAGCTTGATGGGGATGGTATTGAATCTATAAATTACCTTGGGCAGTATGGCCATTGTCACGATATTGATTCTTCCTATCCATGAGCATGGAATGTTCTTCCATTTGTTTGTGTCCTCTTTTATTTTGTTGAGGTGTGGTTTGTAGTTCTCCTTGAAGAGGTCCTTCACATCTCTTGTAAGTTGGATTCCTAGGTATTTTATTCTCTTTGAAGCAATTGTGAATGGGAGTTCACTCATGGTTTGGTTCTCTGTTTGTCTGTTATTGGTGTATAAGAATGCATGCGTTTTTTGCATTTATATTATCATTGTCTTAAACATTTCTTCTACATGTATTTAGAACTGTGTCAGACAATATTATGACTTTCTGCTTTAACCATCAAACATAACTCAGAAAACTCAAGAGGAAGAGGAAAGCCTATTGTAGTTATTTATATTTTTGTTTAGCATACTTTTTTTCTTCCTAATTTTCCACAATATTTTCTGCTGTCATTTCATTTTTGTTTAGCCATTGTTTTAGGTAGGTCTGTAGGTAACAAATTATTTTCCTTCATCTGACAATTTCTTGATTTCACCCTTCATTTCTGAAGAATATTTTCACAGAGAATAGGATTCTGAGTTGACAGTTCTCTTAGCACTTGAAAAGTACTGTGCTACTTCCTTCTGACTTCAGTGGTTTCTGATGAGAAATCCACTGTCATTCAAATTGGTTTTCCTCTATAGGCAAAGTGTCATTTTCCTCTGACTGCTTTCAAGACTTTTCATTTATCTTTAGTTTTCAGAAGTCAAGTTAATATAAGTGTGGTTGGATATCTCTGGGTTTATCTTTTTAGCTTCTTCAGTATATAGTTAATGCTCCTTTCCAAATTTGGGAAGATTTTATCCATTACTTCTTTGAGTACTTCTTCAGTCCCTCCCTCTTTCTCCTTTCTTCCTGGGATTCTGATGACACAAACATTAAATCATTTGTTATAGTCTCACAGATCTCTGAAGCTCTGTTAATTTAGTCTATTTTTTTCTCTGTTGTTCCAATTAAATAATTTCTACATTTCTTTCTTCAAGTTCACTGATTCTTTCCTTGGCAAATTTATGGCAGGCCTGAATATGCACAGGTCTTTAGGCCCTCAGCTTGAAAACATGATTGTCAGCATAATGAATGCCTAGATCTGAACCTCAAAGTGTACTCACATTAAACAAGCTCATGGAGGCTAATGACAAAAACCTTAAATGCCAATTAATTTACTTAATTTAAAATAAGAAGTTTAACCATCAGGTAGACTTAGAACAAATGGTTTCTCGGTAGGCAAATGAAAATGGAAAACCTTAATTATAACTAAAAGGCTGCTTAGTTAGCCTGCAACTAGGAAAAGAGGAGTTATTTGGCAATTTTAATGCCTGATGTCATAGAGCCCTGGAAATTACTAAGTACATCTCCACCACAGGATCATATCTGCCATATCACCTGGTTGGTTATGATACTGGGCCAGGACACTCTCTCTTCTGATCGTGAAATAAAATACTACCACGGTTTGACTTTCCTTTTTCTAAACATCTTTTATTGGCTAAATATCTTAAAGACAGTCATGTTTTTACTCTATATGTGCTAGTACATTTAAACACTTCTGTTCAAGTCTTGGCTAGAGCTTATTCTGTCTCTGCTTTGTGACTTTATATACCTCTCTAATTTAAATGATTATTTAAAAAATAGTTTAAAATTCAATGTGCAACTTTCTTTCCAACTTTCTGAAGGTTCTCTCATTGTTTTCTCTATGAACCACATACTAAAATTACTGGACAACAAAGACCAAGTAAGAATTGGTCTTTTTCTTTTGGGCAAAAGCTTTTTTTTTTTTTTTAATGGAGTCACAGCTGACAAGACCATGTCTGCTCTATAAAATCAGCTTTAAGAAATAGAAAGAGAAATTAGAGCTCTTAGAAGGTGGGAGAGAGTGAGTTCAGTTTCATGCCTATACTTCTGGTTTTAGGGGTTTGAGGGAAAGAGTGGCAGTAGGGGGCAAAAGTTAGGCTATGAGGGCCATGTCCAAAAGTCCCTCAGGTTCTGTCTTTGGAGAATTGTAGACTGCCTTTAAGGGAACTGCAAGGTTTCCTTCAGTATACGTTGGATTAATTGGTTCCTCTGGTTAAATAGTTACCATGCTTAGTTTTAATACAACTAATTGATTTCTTATCATCTGTCTAATAATTTAGTTCAAATTCTTTTCCATTTAAGGACAGAATTCTAATGTTCTCACATTTAAGAAGGAAATTTAGCCAGGTGCAGTGGCTCACACCTGTAATCCCAGCACTTTGGGAGGCCTAGGTGGGTGGATCACCTGAGGTCAGGAGTTCAGGACCAGCCTGGCCAACATGGTGAAACCCCATTTCTACTAAAAATACAAAACAAAAATTAGCTGGGCGTGGTGGCACACACCTGTAATCCCAGCTACTCCAGAGGCTGAGACAGGAGAATTGCTTGAATGCAGAGGCGGAGGTTGTAGTAAGCCGAAATTGTGCCACTGCACTCCAGCCTGGGTGCCAGAGCCAGATTCTGTCTCAAAAAAAGAAGGAAATTTATATTCTGTCCTGTTTAATTGTTCAATAACAATTTGCCGAGCTCATAACTAATCTGTTAAGCATAAAACAGTTTCTATCACTGAAAGTAAGATAATAGTAAAATTAAAAATATCTCAGATATGATATTTCATTGCCCATTGGACAACTACTGACTTCAGAGTCAAAGTCAAAGTCTTTAGCTTAACCTACAAGTCTTTATGGCATAGCCTTTGCTTAACTTCATCTTTCTCAATTCTCTCTGCTTCTAAAAGAAAACTTTCTGACTATAGGGAGCAAGTAGTCTAGTAGGGAAGATGGGAGAGAGTGAGTTTGGTTTCGTTCCTACATTTCTGATTTTAGAGGCTTTGAGGGAAGAGTGGCAGGAGGTCAAATAATCAGACAAATAGAAGTAATATCATAGTTGTAACAAATGCCACAAAGGAGAAAAGCATGTTTTTATAATAACATAAAATAAAATGTATTTCATTTTATCCAGGATGTAAGGGAAGTCAAAAAAGTCTTCTCCAAGGAAATGATTCCGTTGAATTCTAAAGGAAAATATAGAATTAACAAGACAAAGAGGGGGAGGGAAAATGTTGATGTAAGGAGGAAATAATATGTTCAGAAACCTTAGCATGAAAGCAGACTGTCGTACACAAAAGACCCATGTGTCTTGTGTAAAGTGAGTGACTGAGGTACACGGCTTCAGATGTAATTAGAAAAATAGATATGGAATGAATTATATTAAGGAATTTATCTTTATTATAAGAGCAATGAGAAGCTGCTGAAATATTTTAAACAGAAAAGTAACATGAAAAAATATATATTTTCAAAATAACATACTGGCTGCTATGTGGAAAACAAGGACAGATGTGGATTCAGGATGACCATTGATTTGTAAGCCTATTGTAATAAGACTATTGTAATAGAATAGTTAATTGATGACAGTGGCCTACTCAGGGCAACGTGATAAAAATGAAGTTTAGATGGATCCTAGAGACATTTATGAAGCAAAATCAAGCAGATATTGTGCTTTGTTAGATGTGGGGTTTTGAGAGGGAGGTGGGAAACCTTTTTTTTACTGCATGCTCCCCAGGATTGGGTTAGGACCACCTTCTGTATATTCCTGTAACTCCTTGTACTGCCATCTTAGGATTTCTCATTTGATATTAAAATTGCTTGCTTACACTATATATTGTATATTGCAAGCTCCATGTCTTGCTCATTATTATATTTGTTGCACCTACTACCATGCCTAGTACACAGCAGTTCTCAGAATTTGTGCAAGGAAAAAGTAGAAATGTAGAGACTTTAAAGTTGAAATTATTTTCATAGATGTTTAGAAAAAGGACAATTAGCTTTCAATATAAAAAGCAGTAAGGTGTACTGAAAAGCAGTAAGATATCCTCAATGTTTAACTCTCAGCAGTGTTACAAATGTTTTCAAGTTTAGAGATGGACAAAGAATGCTTGCATACTCCAATAATGTCCACCTCCAATGAAAGCAAAGCAAACAGCAATTCCATTTGCAGTTATGCAGGACCTCAAGAAAGGGGCTTATATTAAACACCTTCAGACACAGATACTAATTCTAAGACCTGATAAATGCAGCATTTCTTCAACATTCTCTTCAGCAGTTATCCTCAGAGCTTAAGTCAATTCTTAGAGCTACTACCTGTGGCTGAATTGGAGGTGTCCCAATCTCCAGACTCTCTTAAAATGGAAAATAGTACTCTGCATGCACCTTCATCTAAGGGAATGCTATTTTCTCAACCCTCTTCTTCTTTTCCTTTGGCCCATCCTCCCTTTTTGTTGTTTGTAAAATCTATGCAAGGATACCAATCAGTGTTTCTAATCATTTGTATTGTTTTTAAATCCTCTTCTATTCCTTCATGAACCATCTTGAGTCACATTTCACATTTGATTACCTTGGTCTTTTCCTTTTGTACTTCAGATTTTTTCCATTTATCTGGTAATTCTCTTTTGCCTACTGTGGCAGCCAACCTCCAAGTAAGATGGTCTCCAGTGATCTCACCTTCTGACATTCATGTTCTCTCTTAAAAAAAAAATAGAGGCAGGATCTCACTCTGTCACCCAGGCTGGAGTTCAGTGGTATGGTCATGGTTCACTGCATCCTTGACCCCCTGGGCTCAAGCAATCCTTCAACCTCAGCTTCCTGAGTAGCTAGGACTACAGGTGTGTGCTACCATGCCCAGCTAATTTTTAAATTTTTTTGTAGAGAGGGAGTCTTGCTGTGTTGCCCAGGCTGATCTTAAACTCCTGGCTTCAAGCAATCCTCATGCTTCAGCCTCTGAAAGTGCTGGGATTACAGTTGTGAGCCACTGTGCCCAGCCAGCTATTCATGTTATTTTATAGTTACCTTCCTCATTGTATTTGATTTGCTCTGTCTGACCAGCAGAATATGGCTGAAATGATGGTATGCAATTTTACAGGTTAGGTAATAAAAGGCAGTGTTGTTTCCTGCTTCCTATTTTGGATCATTCACTCTAGAGAAAGCTGACTTCCATAACATGACAAGCGGCCCACATAGCAAGAAACAGACCTCTTGCTAACAGCCATGTGAATGAGCTTAGAAGCTGATCCTTCAGCCCCAATTAAGCTTTCAGATAACTGCAGCCTCAACCAACATCTGGACTGTAACCTCAGGAGAGACCTTGAGCCAAAATGGCCCAGCTAAGCAGCTTCTGAATTCCTGACCCTCAGAAAGTATGTGAGATAGGCCAGACGCAGTGGCTGACACCTGTAATCCCAGCACTTTGGGAGACTGAGGTGGGCGGATCACCTGAGGTCTGGAGTTCGAGACCAGTCTGACCAACATGGAGAAACCCCATCTCTACTAAAAATACAAAATTAGCCAGGTGTGGTGGTGCACGCCTGTAATCCCAGCTACTCGGGAGGCTGAGGCAGGAGAATCACTTGAACCTGGGAGGTGAAGGTTGCGGGGAGCCAAGATTGCGCCATTGCACTCCAGCCTGGGCAACAAGAGCGAAACTCTATCTCAGAAAAAAGAAAAAAACAAAGAAAGAAAGTATATGAGATAATAAATGTTTGTTATTTTCAGTCATTAAGTTTTGAAGTAATTTGTTACATAGCAATAGATAAGTTAAACATCTATCCTTTTTAAGAACAGAGGATAGGAGAGCTGACTAGGAGATCTGTGTTTTAGGGTGGGCTTGGTAACTGGAAGTCTTTCCTTAAAATGAATTTTTAGAAAAGGAGAAAGCTTTGTGAAAGTAGGGGCTAACTTTGGTATGATAACAGCTTCATTAGACACCCTCGTTTTCCCTTAAGAGTTCATTTAATTTATTCATTATTCTTTTTCCTACTGATGATTCTTTCTGTTATGGCGAGGGTTGAAAGACTGTTCTATACACAGATCTTCAACTAATCTTTTAGTTTGCAACCAACTTCTGCCCTCATCTAGGGTTTTGTCAGGCATATAGTTCCCTTTTCCCTTTGGTGCCTTGCAGCTATATTCAGACTATGATTCCCTCCAATTTATTGAATTTGTCAGCATTCTTCTATCTGCTTTTCATTTACAGAAATATGTTGAAATATTTGCTGGAACTGCATCTTCACACTTTCTTTTACCTTCTGTTGTTCTCTTTGCTATTTTGATTATATAAGTTAAAAAGCTTATTTTACTATTCTTTTAGTAGGATTCAGGGATTAGGGAAGGCGAAGTATGCTCAATCTGCCATCTAGAACCAGAACTCTTCTATGTGGCATATTTTATTCTATTCATTCAGTACACAGCACTTCACTTTTAAGGATCTACAGCAGGGTATGGCTGTTTTGTGGTCTTTATCAAGAGATCTCGTGGGCCATTGCCCTCCCTTTATTCACTCTTCATATTGTCTTGCCAGTGGGGTCACTATCCTCTCTCTAGGCTATTTTTCCATTCATTCAAAAATTTCCTTCATTCCCCAAGACTATCAAAGGTATCTTATGGAACCTTAGGCCTCTGGAAGAGTGATCCTCTCATGTCTAGGGTCATATAGTGGAACTCAGTTGGGAATGATCCATTGATACAGACCTCTAGTCAAGTCCTGGCCCTCTTTCATGTAGCTATACAAAATGGAGCAGGAGGGAACAATCCCTGCTACCAAGGCTAGCATAGCAAGTCAGTATGATGAGAGATGAAGACTCCATTCACCTTTCCCCTGCCAGAAGTATCCTCAATCTCCATGGTCTACAATATACTCCTTCTCATCAATCCCTGTATCACAAGAAACCCTTGACCACAGAAAAAGAAAATGTAGTTCTTAGAATAAAAGAACATCTCTTCCTCCCTAAACTAGAGAAAGGCAGCTCTACAAAAGATACTCTTGGTAACTGTCCAAGTTCCTAAACTATCTGTGCATATCTGTTTCACATCAAGGTTTATAAAATAATGTTTGCAATTTTGGCATTTTAAGTTTCTGAGGGAGTGGTGCTGTCCATGTCTGGATGAATGATTTCTCCTTTTTGCCTGTAAAATATTGGTGAACAAAAAAGACAATTTAAAATTTTGAATCTGGATCCTTTATTGCCACCATATTGACCCCTGAAAAGATGCATTTCTTTTGTGTCTTTCTTTTTTTTAAGTATAAGAAAATGATATTTATTTATTTATGTTTTCCTTTTTTTATTTCTTCTTCTAAAAAAAAAGAGGGGATACATGTGCAGAAGATGCAGGTTTGTTACACAGGTATACGTGTGCCGTAGTTGTTTGCTGTACCTATTGACCCAACCTCTAAGTTCCCTCCCCTCACCCCTCAACCCCCAACAGGCCCTGGTGTGTGCTGTTCCCCTCTCTATGTTCATGTGTTCTCAATGTTTAACTCTCACTTAAGAGTGAGAACATGCAGTGTTTGCTTTTCTGTTCCTGTGTTAGTTTGCTGCAGATGATGCTTCCAGCTTTGTCCACGTCCCAGCAAAGGACATGATCTCATTCTTTTTAGGGCTGCATAGTATTCCATGGTGTATATGTACCACATTTTCTTTATCCAGTCTATCATTGATGGGCATTTGTGTTGGTTCCATGTCTTTGCTATTGTACGTAGTGCTGCATGTGTGCATGTGTCTTTATATGTGTCTGTATAGTACGTATAGTACGTGCATGTGTCTTTATAGTAGAATGATTTATATTCGTTTGGACATATACCCAATAATGGGATTGCTGGGTCAAATGGTATTTCTGGTTCTAGATCCTCGAGGAATCGCCATACTGTCTTCCACAATGGTTGAACTAACTTACATTCCCACCAACAGTGTAAAAGTGTTCCTATTTCTCCACAGCCTCACCAGCAAACAGACATATAGACCAGTGGAGCAGAACAGAGACCTCAGAAGTAACACCACACATCTACAACCATCTGATCTTCAGCAAACCTGACAAAAACAAGCAATGGAGAAAGGATCTCCTATTCAGCGAATAGTGCTGGGAAAACTGGCTAGTCATATGCGGAATACTGAAACTGGACCCCTTCTTTACACCTTACACAAAAATTAACTCAAGATGGATTAAAGACTTAAATGGAAAACCCCACACCATAAAAACCCTAAAAGAAAACCTAGGCAATACCATTCAGGACATAGGAATGGGCAAAGAGTTCGTGACTAAAACACCAAAAGCCATGGCAACAAAAGCCAAAACTGACAAATGGGATCTAATTAAACAAAAGAGTTTCTGCACAGCAAAAGAAACTATCATCAGAGTGAACAGGCAACCTACAGAATGGGAGAATAATTTTGCAATCTACCAATCTGACAATGGTCTAATGTCCAGAATTTACAAGGAACTTAAACATATTTGCAAGAAAATAAAAACCTTTCAAAAGCAGGCACAGGATATGAACAGACACTTCTCTCAAAAGAAGACATTTACATGGCCAAAAAACATGAAAAAAAAAAAAAGCTCAACATCACTGATCACCAGAGAAATGCAAATCAAAACCACAATAAGATACCATCTCATGCCAGTCAGAATGGCAATTATTAAAAAGTCAGGAAAAGGTGTATTTCATGTGAATAGGCAGTGGTAAAGAAACCCAAGATAATTGCGTGGTATCTTAGGAATACAGTGTAAATGATATTTAGAATTATCTGGGCAAGTTTTTGGCATTTGGAAGATCTGATCACAGAAACAGGGTCCCAGATTGAGGATTCACTTAGGAAATAAACTCCATGACACTGGGAAGGAGTTTTTCAAGAATGTGGCAGGACCACAGTTACAGAAAAGAACTGACAGATGAGGCAGGCCATAAGTCAGTAAGTAAGGGGCTCAAAGAACTTCAATTTCATCAGAGACCTTGGGGAAATGCCAGAATTGGACAATGTGAAAAGTGTATGCTATGCTTTTCTTCTTGCTTGAACTAAGTTTTAAAGAACTTACCCACATCAAATAAAGAGAAACCTAGACTTAGTATGGTTTATCTCTGGTGGAAGAATTACCAGGAGTGGAAAGGCTGCTTAAGATAGTGGTGAATTTGTGCTCTGAATTTTATTCACTCCTTGAAGGACTCTCTCAGCTCAGTTTCAACTGAGCCCATCCTTCTAGGCCTGGTAATCACCACATCTTTGGCCTTTGCAAGTCCAAGACAGACTGAAGCTGCCAAAGATAGAATATGAGGGAATAGCATAGAAAAAAAATCAGAAATAGGCTGGGTGCGGTGGCTCACGCCTGTAATCCCAGCACTTCAGGAGGCCGAGGTGGATGGATCACGAGGTCAGGAGAGCGAGACCATCCTGGCCAACATGGTGAAACCCCCTCTCTACTAAAAATACAAAAAAATTAGCAGGGAGTGGTGGCGTGCACCTGTAGTCCTAGCTACTTGGGAGGCTGAGGCAGGAGAATCACTTGAACCCAGGAGACGGAGATTGCAGTGAGCTGAGATTGAGCTACTGCACTCCAGCCTGGCAACAGAGCAAGACTCCATCTAAAAAACAACAAACAAACAACAACAACAACAAAAATCAGAAATTGATGGAATGTCAAAATACTTTATTTAACAAAATCCAGTGGTCTAATCCCTTCATCGTAGTTTTGTAGCATTTTACCATCCCTTTGTAGATTTGTATTGGCCCTAGTTCATTGAAATCTCATCTGTGTCCCTTGCTTTTTAGTTTCTGGTCAGTCTCTATGTACCAGTTTTAATTTTGACCACCCCATTTCCACCCTCTCACTGATGAACTTCATTAAAAAATTTCATCACTTCTCAGGTCAAAAGAGAATTTTTTACATATCTGTTACATATATATCTTTTGAATATCTATTTGTCTACTTTTTCAGTTCCAGTTTTCAATCTGAAAAATGGGCTTATTCTTTGTGTGACTGACACCAGGAATAATTTTATATACCTGTGGGTTTTATTGTAGGCTGAGATGTTTAGCCATCTCATTCAAATGCAGACACATTATCCTTACGACCAGGGTTGCACATATACCCTGTGGTAACGGGTGAGTTATTCCCTCATATAAGGACCAGTTACATATATATTAAAAGCAGCTCAGTCTTTCTGTTTCTTAGGAAGTAAAGGAGTATAAGAAGGGTTACTCTACTCTTTTACTTATGGAGAGGACACAGAGTTACCAGTGAAAATGGGGGAAATACTGTAAATAGTGAACTCTTAAAAAAAGAAACTGTGAACAACTAGAGATGATTCCTACAGAGGAGGAGACAGATTCAGGGGAGATAGCTCAAAATAAGTAATGTGTCCTTGTCAGGAAAAAAAAAATGCTGGCATTTGGTAAACTGTAGGTGTTATTATTTTCAGGGAACCTAGGAATAACTGAATTGTGTATCACACCAAAGCTGTACATCCCCATTAAGTTCCGAAGAGAAATCTTCCTACAAGGAGTAATGGAAAATGGGAAGCCAAATAGACTGGGCCCTTAGCTTTAAGGCTGAGAATGCATCTAAGTTGTACTGGAGGACACAGTTAAGGGGCTTCTATTTCATGTTCCTTCTTAGAAGCCCCAAGGCACAATCTCAGAATTGTGCATCTACTGGGAGTGGCCCAAAGGCAATTTGCCATTTTGTGAAAAAGTGGAAAAGAAAGGAGAGAGAACCAACATACGGGCAATTTTTAAATCTACAATCACCTTTTTCATTATTAAATGTGGCCCAATTAGTGATCTGGATCCAACTAATCAAAATGATGTTCCTTTTTGGTAGGAAGAATTCAGAAAAGGCAGGCATGGTATAGGAGAAGCATTGATAATTTTGTAATTATCTCTGAGTTTCTGTTCCCAGTCCAGCAAGAGGCACATATAAAAAGGATGTTCTGGTGAATGCTCATTTTAAAAAATAATCTTACTCTAAACCATTCTAGCTCTCTTCATAATATTTTACTTGAATGTTCACCAATTCCTCCTTCCTATCTATATAACTGCTTTTTGTTTTTGCCTTTTGTATGATTGCTGATTTTTTCTACTTGATCTATTAAATCTTAATAAAGTTAGATTAAAATAGCCTTTTATGATGGTAGACTTGTTAATTTCCCCGGTAATTACAATAAATTTTGCTTTCTATGTTTTAAAGCTATGTCATTAATGCCTACAATTTTAAAATGTTCATATTTTTCCAGTGAATTGAAACTTTTGTTAATTAACAGCACCTATTCACAATGAAAATGAAAGCTCTATAGGCACATGCGTCAACATAGATAAATCTCAAAGACATAATGCTGAGAAAAACATGCAAATTACAGGAGAATACGAACATTATGACACAAAAATTCAAAACATTAAAAAAAATAGGAACGCATTATTTAGGGACACGCTATATAGATGGGAAAAATCTTTAACAAAATCCAGGATAGTGGCAACTTATAGGTGAAGTGTGAAGGTTGTGATTATGGAAGAGTACTCAGGGGACTTTAAAGGTTCTGGTGATGCTCTGTACCTTATGTAGGTTGGTAAGTATACAGGTGTATGTTTTATTTGTATTATATATTCTTTTGTAATGATATATTTTATAATAAAAATCAGTAAATAATTGTATGAAAAAGGTGGTTAAACACAATTTTAAGACTCTGACCTGCCCGAATACCTAAAGCCTGGGGTCATTACCACCTCACCGGAGATTCTTAAACACATGCTTATAAGGTCGGGCTAATCTATAAAGCCACACTCTCAGCAAGGGTTTCTAGACCTGGACCAAGTGTAACAGGATAGATTGTTTTCACTCCCACATTTATGACGATGTTACAGTCACCCAATCTCCTGTTCTGAGAAAACCTTCACTAAATTTTCAAACCCAAAAACATTCCCAATTCTCACTTAATTTCCTTCCTATAATTAGCCTTCTGCATTAGTTCCTATTGAGATAACCTATAAAATAACAACAGAAATTAAATTGGAATGCTTACATATTCTAATTGCGAGGATTTACATATTTTTAGTGTACATATATTGATTTAAACCACTTTATAACAGTCCTGTGAAGTGAGTACTTTTAGTTTTTTTCACTTTGCATATGAAAGAAATCAGGATAAAAAGAGATTAAATAGTTTTCCCAATATTTTTTGGCTCTGAAGTGAGTCTGAAACCAGACATCCTGGCTCCAAAGTCTGCACTCTTAACCACCAAAGTCAGGCCTTGTTCTTGCCAATTCTCTTTCCAAAAACTGTTGTCTTGTCCCTGAACTTCAGTCCAGCCAATTAAGCAAAAATATTTTGGGTGCCAGCAGCCTGTCTCTGGTCCTTCAGAGTTTTTCCCACAATGGATTCCCCATCACTGCACTCGACCTCCTGTTGTTTCAGCAGCAACTTCAGTACCATCTTTCTGCCCAACACTCAGTAGTTCTCCAACACTGAGATTGTGGACGTGGCTTGACAACCACTGTTAGCCAAGAGGGTCACTCAGTGTCTGTTTGCCCTGTCCAAGTGGGTGAACCCATTGCCAGGTTGTGGTGTCATTTCCTACCTGTATTTTTCTTACTGTGAATAAATGACTAGCTTTGCCTATGAGTTACAAGCCATAAGTAAGTGCAAAATAATAAATAAATAAATAAATAAGATTAAAAATCCAACAAGAAGAAAAATACTGCTTGAATATGAAGAAGAAAAGTGCCTGCAAGGAAACCCAGAGACTGAGCATGGACCCTCTCCTCAGAGAGTGTGGACAGAGCTGGCAGAAGAGAGTAATAGAGAGGAATATGGGTGTTTGTAGCCCCCTGAGCAAGATGAAAGAAGTGGATGATTCCTGGCAAAATACCTGCTACATAATAGGTGATCAAGACAAAATATTTGCTTGTGGAATAAATGATTGAATAATGTGCATACCTGATTCAAATTATGAACCTGGCAGGGACAGGATATTTATTGTATGAAGGAGAATAAGAATTAACTGGATATCTGTAGGAACCTCTGGCTGAAAGCAGTCTAGAAGGACCTGGATTCTTCTTGAAATTTTATTTTCCAAAAGTAGAACAAACACTGGGAGATATAGCTACAAAGGGCCTGTGGTGATTAATCCCGTGATGATTAATTTTATGTGCCAACTTCACTGGGCCACAGGATGCCAAGATATTTAGTCAAATATTATTCTGAGTTTGTGCATTTCTGGATGAAATTAACATTTGAATTGGTAAACAATTCAAATTGTGTATTGGAGTATACATTTGGATTGGTATCTAATGTATCTAATGTTTAACAATCCAAATGTATACATTGAATATATACAATGTCTACAAATATATACACTGGCATATACATTGGTACATACATTTTAATTGATAAACAATTCAAGTTGGTAAACAATTCAAATTGTGTATTGGAGTATATATTTGAATTGGTTAAAATTGGATACCAATTCAAATGTATACATTGGAGTAGATATTTGAATTGATAAACAATTCAAATTGTCTATTGAAGTACAGCAGATTGTCTTTCCTAATGTGGATGGGCCTCATCCAATCAATTGAAGATCTGAATAGAACAAAATGGCTAAGAAGGTACTCCTCCTGCTTGACTGCTTGAGCTGAGACATCAGGCTTTTCCTGCCTGCAGACTGTACCTAAAACACTCATTCTTCTTGGCTTTCAAGGCTGCAAGCTTTCAAACTGGATCTTGCACCACTGGCTCTCCTGGGTCTCAGCAACTGCAGATCTTGGAACTTCCCAGCCTCCATAAACATATAAGCCAATTCCTTTTAATAAGTCTTTCTCCATGTGTAAGTGCCTGCAAGGAAATACGGAGACTGAGCATGGACCCTCTCCTCAGAGAGTGTGGACAAAGCCAGCAGGAGAGAGTAATAAGAATATATATATAATATATACATATATTATACATATATATATGATACACACACACACACACACACACACACACACACACACACACACACACACACAGTTTACCAATTCAGTCATGTGCTGCATAACAAAGTCTTGCTCAATGACAGACTGCATATATGGTGGTGGTGTCATAAGATTATAATGGAGCTGAAAAATTCCTACTGCCTAGTGATGTTGTAGCTCTCATAGTATCATAGCATAACACATTACCTTTTCTGTATTTACATATGTTTAGATACACAACTACTACCATTGAGTTACAGTTGCCTACAGTATTCAGTACGGTAAAATACTGTACAGGTTTGCACCCTAGGAGGAATATGCCACAGCATTCAATCTAGGTATACAGTAGGCTGTACCATCTAGGTTTGTGTAAGTACACTCTGATGTTTGGACAACAATGAAATTAGCTAACAACACATTTCTCAGAACATATCCTTGCAATTAAGCAATAATATGACCATAACAGGATATATATATCCTGTTGGTTCTGTTTCTCTGGAGAATCTTGACTAATACAGGGTCGAATTCTTATAAATAAGGAGAAATTTTTTGCTGCTGTAAAAATTGCACAAAAGTGAAAGGGTCATATTAAATTTGGAAATAGAGATATGAAATATTTAACGTAGATATTCTAAAGATAAGAAAAATGATGATCATAGTTCTGTACCATGAGACTTTAAATTGAAAGTTGGCTTTGAAAGTATTGGAAAATTCTGACTTAAAAATACAAAATATACTAAGTAAAGAGAAAAAATAGAAGAGGCACATGAAGATGCTAAGAAGACTGTAGAGGGAGCTGTCTGATCAGCTTAGATACTAAAGGACAATCTAAGATGAAAGAAAAGAACACACAATCAAAGACTGCCTTACATGCACTATTCTCTGAGAAGTAACTTATTAAACATTTGTGTGAATAAAGCTGAAATAAAAGACAATTATGTTTAAGAATTGTGTCTAGAAAATTTGTGTTCAAATATGCTAGAATTGCAAAAAATGCTGTGTGGGAAAGAAAGGGTAGGGTGCTTTGTTTTTAGCCACTGGCAAAACTAAGAAAGAGCAGAACAGACCCTGCTTGAGGATCATGCTCTAATAAATATTTTTGCAGATGGAGAGAAAGTAGATGTCTCAGTCCTGGTTTGGTTCTGTCTTCTCTTTCAAGGTATAATATTGGGCTGGGAAGGACTCTGGACTTTTGAAAGAAGGAAAAGAGTGCAGAGGGAGAGTGGAACATCAGAGAGTTTCAGCTCATACCAGACCTAGAGTTTACAGTCCACCTTCTAAGAGTTTGCAAAGGGGATTCTTAATATATTCACAGTTTGGTCATTGAAATAATCATTTATTAAGCATTCTGTCCTATTCCTGTCACCAGGCCAGACACTGGGAATACAGATGAAGACAATACAATATAATTTCCTTGGGAGTTTGAAGAATTCCAGAGTATAGGACCACAGCTGGAGATGAGGAAATGTTCTGATTTCTCCTGGGGGAATGAAGTGTGTTCCCTGAATTAGTGGCTTCCTGGTTTTTAGACAATAAGGCTTCAAACCAGGTTGACACATCCCATGTCAAACATTTGGTGGGCAATAAAAGTGAGATTCAGTCTTCTGAGTCTATAACTCATCTTACTTTGATTCTGCTCTAGCCCCTAGTCCTTCTTCTTTGCTATGTCCTCCTAGCTTCTAGTCCTTAGCTTGGTCTCTTGGTTATAACTCTGTCCTCACTCTCTGACTAAAATACTGAATTGACTTTAATTCATTCATTTAATCAACAAATATTGACTGAATGTCTGTCATATGCCAGCCTTTATTCTAGATGCTGGGGATACACCAGTGAGTAAAACAATGTCTCTGTTTTAATGGGACTTACCTCTGGTACTGGTCAAAATATAAACTCTCTCTCTCCTTCTCCTTATTATATATATATATATATAATATATATTATATATATATTATGTATATATATTTTATATATATATGCTGTATACTGTGTATTTATGGTATGTGTTATGAAGAAAAATAAAATCAGTGTAAGAAAGACAAGGAGACTGGGGGTTATAACACCTGAACAGAGATTGAAAGGAATTGAGAGTGAGAGCCATGCTTGTATCTGGTGAGAAGAACATTTCAATAAAGGGAAATACCAGTGTAAAGGCTGGAACAGAGTGAGTGGGGGAGACTGGTAAGAGGTTATAGTTGTAGTGAGAGCAAGGGGAGCATAGGATGTAGAGCCTGCTAAGCCATGGTAAAGATTTTGACTATAATCTGAGACTGTGAGCTCCTGAAGGGCTTTGAGCAGGGAAGTGCCATCATCTTATATGTTTTAATAGTGTATCTTGGATTGTCATATATAGAATAGGATTGGGGTAGGGGTAGATAAAATTAGAAGAAGAGAGAAGAGTTAGGAGTCTATCGGAGTTATCTGAGAAAGAGTTGATGGTAGCTTGGAACAAGTTGTAATAGTACACGCAGGAAGAAGCGATGCAACTGTGAATATATTTTGAAGGTATAGCGGAAAGGATTTGCTGCTTGATTAGATGTGGGCTATGTAGAATAGAGACGTAACATTCCTGGCTTTGGCCATAGTGTCCTCTAAGACATGGCTTATCCTCATCTTCTGATTTTATCCACTTCTAGATACTTTGGAGGCTGACTCTTCCTACTTCCATTGAGAATCCTGGCACCCAACTCTGACACTGGCCTTCCTTGACTGTGCCCCTGCTAGGCTTGCTCTAACCTCCCCACAACCCTTCCCAAAGGAGAATTAAACAGGCTTTTTCTTCTCTCAAGTTAAATAAACCCCCTAATTAAAATGACTTTCATTGTGTCTTAAAAATGTATGTAAATCTAAGGAAGATTGGGGTTAACTATGTAGAAATCTGTAGCATTTTATTTATGTTTCTTCTTGACTAAGGAATCAATGTTTAGGGACTTGAGTGATCATAAAATAAAAATGGGCACAGAAATCGTGACTAAGGAGGAGAAGGTTCCAGGAAGATGAACTTGTGTTTTCATATCAAGCCAAAAGACAGATGATTCAGAAGTCTTTTCCTCCATGTCATGGTGATGAATTTATTCCAGAAACGTCTAACTTATTCTACCAAGAGTCTAATGGCTACGAGAGAAACTAAGTGCTGATTACTGTTCTATTTTCTACAGTTGCAGTGCATGTCATGCTTTCTCCCCTTTACACTAATTGGATCCCAGGCCAATGTCTTTGTAATGGGAGTTAAGGGTGGTATTACTGCATCCCTGGTCAGACCAAGGGAATCCAGCTTTTCTTCTCTGTTTTGACTGTTGCACAGTTGCCTTGCCATTCCCAAAAATGAACAGGAGGTGATTAGCACTCTGGTGCCCTATTTAAGCTTTCTGGCTCCAAAGAGAAGCTATTTTGAAAAGTGAAAAGATTACACTCTGATAATAGACCAGAGGCCTTACACATGTGAATGGCTCACAGAGGATTAAAAGAGCAGACCCAGAATAAATGCAGCCTATACCTGATGGAGCAAAGAGGGTGAATCGCCCGCACCCTTGACTGCAGGAGCTGTTTGAAGGAAGCACCTTACTCAGATTATTGATGCCTCTGTGATCCAACGTAATGGTGGGAGGTTTAGGGGGGCAATGTCTGATCCAACTGTTGTCTTCTCAAGAAACCAATTAGACTGCTTCATAGTCTTCTGATGTCTCAGGGATCTTAGTTCCTAATTGGTAGACTCTTCCCTTCCAACTTTGATCTCTTTCTGAGTGTTCCTGCCTGGGAACATTTTCCCAAGGTCACCAATCATCTGAAGAAGTGTATGCATGAGGGAATTCACAATTGTTCCAACTTATTTTAAACACAAGATGATGCAAATTGGAATTTTGTTAATTTCAGGCCAAGACCCCTAGAAGTTGCACTAAGAGGGGCCCATTAGTGCACAAGGCCTTTAAGTCCTATAGGTCAGATTTAAAGAGGCCAAAGCTCTGGGAAGACTAGTTCACTCAACTGTGATAATTCCAGTATGTTAATGTGTTCATGTACTAGGAAAAATTATATGTTCTGAGGAATCAATGTTTATTGTAAAATTGGTCTCAATTATTTTCTGTCCAGGAAAGCTAACCTAGGAAACTAAGAAATTAAACAAATATATTCAATAACGTGATTGTTATTAAACACATATTATGTGTCAAGAGCCTTCCCTTGACACATAATTAGGTCCACTTGGTCCAGAGCTGAGTTCAAGTCCCGAATATCCCTTGTTAATTTTCTGTCTCATTGATCTGTCTAATATTGACAGTGGGGTGTTAAAGTCTCCCACTATTATTGTGTGGGAGTCCAAGTGTCTTTATAGGTCTCTAAGAACTTGTTTTATGAATCTGGATGCTTCTGTATTGGGTGCATATATATTTAGGATAGTTAGCTCTTGTTGCATTGATTCCTTTACCATTATGTATTGCCCTTCTTTGTCTTTTTTGATCTTTGTGTGTGTAAAGTCTGTTTAATCAGAGATTAGGATTGTAACCCTTGCTTTTTTTGCTTTCCATTTGCTTGGTAAACATTCCTCCATCCCTTTACTTTGAGCCTATGTTTGTCTTTGCACATGAGATGGGTCTCCTGAATACAGCACACCGATGGGTCTCCTGAATACAGCACACCGATGGGTCTTGACTTTTTATCCAATTTGCCAGTGTGTGTCTTTTAATTAGGGCATTTAGCCCATTTACATTTAATGTTAATATTGTTATGCGTGAATTTGATCCTGTCATTATGATGCTAGCTGGTTATTTTGCCCATTAGTTGATGCAGTTTCTTCATAGTGTTGACGGTCTTTACAATTTGGTATGTTTTTGCAGTGGCTGGTACCAGTTTTACCATTCCATATTTAGTGCTTCCTTCAGGAGCTCTTGTAAGGCAGTCTTGGGGGTGACAAAATCTCTCAGCATTTGCTTGTCTGTAAAGGATTTTATTTCTCCTTTGCTTATGAAGCTTAGTTTGGCTGGGTATGAAATTCGTGTGTTGAAAATTCTTTTCTATAAGAATGTTGAATATTGGCCCCCACTCCCTTCTGGCTTGTAGGGTTTCTGCAGAGAGATCCACTATTAGTCTGATGGGCTTCCCTTTGTGGATAACCAGACCTTTCAATAGATGCAGAAAAGGCCTTCGATAAAATTCAACACTGCTTCATGCTAAAAACTCTCAATAAACTAGGTATTGATGGAACGTATCTCAAAATAATAAGAGCTATTTATGACAAACCCACAGCCAATATCATACTGAATGGGCAAAAGCTGGAAGAATTCCCTTTGGAAACCAGCACAAGACAAGGATGCCCTCTCTCACCACTCCCATTCAACATAGTATTGGAAGTTCTGGCCAGGGCGATCAGGCAAGAGAAAGAAATAAAGGGTATTCAAATAGGAAAAGAAAGTCAAATTGTCTCTGTTTGCAGATGACATGATTATATATTTAGATAACCCCATCATCTGAGCCCAACATCTCCTTAAGCTGATAAGCAACTTCAGCAAAGTCTCAGGATACAAAATCAATGTGCAAAAATCACAAGCATTCCTATACACCAATAATAGAGAAATAGAGAGCCAAATCATGAGTGAATTCAAAATTCACAATTGCTACTAAGAGAATAAAATACCTAGGAATACAACTTACAAGGAATGTGAAGGACCTCTTCAAGGAGAACTACAAACCATTGCTCTAGGAAACAAGAGAGGACACAAACAAATGAAAAAAACATTCCATGTTCATGGATAGGAAGAATCAATATCATGAAAATAGCCATACTGCCCAAAGTAATTTATAGACTCAATGCTATCCCCATCAAGCTACCTTAACAGAATGAGAAAAAACTACTTTAAATTTCATATGGAACCAAAAAAGAGCCTTAATAGCCAAGACATTCCTAAGCACAAAAAACAAAGCTGGAGGCATCACACTACCTGACTTCAAACTATACTACAAAGCTACAGTAACCAAAACAGCATGGTACTGGTACCAAAACAGATATGTAGACCAATGGAACAGAACAGAGGCCTCAGAAATATCACCACACATCTACAACCATGTGATCTTTGACAACTCTGACAAAAACAAGCAATAGGGAAAGGATTCCCTATTTAATAAATGGTGTGGAAAAACTGGCTAGCCATATGCAGAAAACTGAAACTGGGCCCTTTCCTTACACCTTACACAAAAATTAATTCAAGATGGATTAAAGACTTAAACATAAGACCTAAAACCAAAAAACTCTAGAAGAAAACCTAGGTAATAGCATTCAGGACCTAGGCATGGGCAAAGACTTCATGACTAAAACACCAAAAGCAATGGCAACAAAATTCAAAATTGACAAATGGGATCTAATTAAACTAAAAAGCTTCGGCACAGCAATAGAAACTATCATCAGAGTAAGCAGGCAACCTACAGAATAGGAGAAAATTTTTGCAGTCTATCCATCTGACAAAGAGCTAATATCCAGAATCTACAAGGAACTTAAACAAATTGACAAGAAAAAAACAACCCCATCAAAAAGTGGGCAAAGGATATGAACAGACACTTCTCAAAAGAAGATATTTATGTGGCCAACAAGCATATGAAAAAAAGCTCATCATCACTGGTCATTAGAGAAACACAAATCAAAACCAAAATGATAAACCATCTCATGCCAGTTAGAATGGCGATCATTAAAAAGTCAGGAAACAACAGATGCTGGAGAGGATGTCGAGAAATAGGAACACTTTTACACTGTAGGTGGGAGTGTAAATTTGTTCAACCATTGTGGAAGACAGTGTGGCGATTCCTAAAGGATCTAGAACCAGAAACACCATTTGATTTAGCAATCCTATTACTGGTTATATACCCAAAGGATTATAAATCATTCTACTATAAAGACACATGCACCCGTATATTTACAGCAGCACTATTCACAATATCAAAGACTTGGAAAGAACCCAAATGCCCATCAATGATAAAGTGGATAAAGAAAATATGGCACACATACACCATGGAATACTATGCAGCCATAAAAAAGGATGAGTTCATGTCCTTTGCAGGGACATAGATGAAGCTAGAAGCCATCATCCTCAGCAAACTAACACAGGAACAGAAAACCAAACACTGCATGTTCTCACTCATAAATGGGAGTTAAACAATGAGAACATGGACACAGGGAGGGGAACATCACACACCGCGGCCTATCGGTGGGTGGGGGGCTAGGGGAGGGATAGCATTAGGAGCAATACCTAATATAGATGAAGGGTTGATGGGTGCAGCAATCCACCATGGCATGTATCCCAGAACTTAAACTATAATAAAAATATTGTTCTAATAACTTTTAAAACCTTTTTATTTTATACTAATTTTAGATTCACAGAAAAGTTATAAAGATACTATAGAGAGTTTCCATATACCCTTCACTCAGTTTCCCGTATGGTTAATATCTTATATTACTATGCTACATTTGTCACACCTAAGGAAGTAACCTTGGTAAATTATGATTGAACTACATACTTTATTCAGATTTTACCAGCTTTTCCCAATGTAGGGCTTTAGAATCATTTTCATATACAATACTAGTTAGTAATATCTGATTTAGCACTGTCTATGTCAGAATTTGATATCAGTGTTATGTTTACTTCGTAACCTTTCTTTATGTTCTGGAACCATTTCACAGGGATTGGAATTATTTACCTACTGGTTTTGAAGAGCTGATCTGTGAAATTGTATAGTCTTAGTATTATTTGGGGGAAGGTATATTTACTGAGACAATGGGTAAGAGAGGAGCATCAGTGTACTAGCCAGGACTTTGGTCCCAAACCCCAATGCAGTCCTCACTTGAGCTATGCTGGGGCACTTGGAGAATTCTCACTTAGGACAGGTTGATCTGTATGCCCTTGTATAATACAAGCTGAAATGCTACCTGAGCCTCTTTCCTGTAAGCTCACACATGAATCTTGGATTTTATATCTCTTTGATAAAGAAAGCCCACCACAGAGCCTTCTAATTGCTGAAGAAATAAGAAAATAAAAACCAAGTCAGAATTTGATCTAATTCTTAGAGATCCCCATTTTAATCCTTTCAGGCTCAGGCCCACCCACAGAATTTTAGTCCAGTAGGTGTAAAGTGGGACCTAAGATTTTATATTTTGAACAGATCTTCAGATGATGCTTGTGTTCTAGGGACCACACTTTGAGAAGCATTTCTCTAAGATATAGTTTGTGTAGAGAAAACCTGAATAAATGCTTGATCATTTCTATTTATTTCTCAGTTTTTGGAATAATTATTCAGTTCCTTAAAAACCTTGAAAGGTGACCAGTAATTTTTGTTCTAGTGACATTAAGAACTCAAGCATTTAAAAACAGATTTGATATGGTCCAATTACTTGTAGTTGTTCATTTTGTTTTTGGTCCTCAGATTGTCTCATGTTTGGACAATGGGAGCCCCTTCAAAGTTGACTCCTGTGTTCTTTTGGAATGACCTACCCCAACAATCTTTGAAAGCTTCTCCACTTTTGGGTACCAACAAAATGCTTCATGCATATCTTATAAATTTTATACTACAAATTTGAATTCAGCCATTTCTTTAAGGCATCTTGATTTCTTTTAATATGAGTTTGTATTGTATTTTGCTGTGTTTTCTAATTATAAAATCATATTCTCAATGCAGAAATGTGGAAATAGCATAATAGTGTGACAAAGCAAAAATTATCCTACAATTTTAAGGGAAATACAGGTAACATTTTAATATATGCTTTTCCAGATCTTTTGCAATGAAATTCTACATAATTGAAATAATGTTACATATAAATTAATATATTGCATTTTCGTTTCAAAAAAAATTCATAACAACTCTCATTTCATTCAAAACTTCACGAGCATTATTTTAACAGTAGCATCATGTCCCACTATATGGACTTCATATAATTTCCCTAACCATTCTCCAAATATTAGACATTTAACTTGTGCTTATAACTTATGCTTTAAAAGACTGCTGTGTATTTAAGTCTTTGATCTCATTATATGTATATTTATTTTAAAATCTAATCCAGAAGTAGAACTCATGGATCAAAGGATATGAAGATATTTAAAACTCTGGAAACCTATTACTAAATTGCTATCCAGAAATAATTATACTGTACCCTTGCCAGCATTGAGCATTCTCATTTTAGAATAAAGTTTGCTACTATGATGGGTGAAATATTACTATCATTGTTTTCATTTGAATTTGTATTCCAGATATATTAACACTTGATCTGTTATGTTACTGCAAATGTTCCCTGGTGTATCATTTGATTTTCAGTTTTTGATTTGTTTTTGATCCACAGAAACGTATTTCATCCGCCAGTATCTTCTTTTGAAACTTCTTTCAGTGCATTTATAATGTCTACGTTGATAACAGAAATAAAAGGCATATTTATATACAGTTTACGTAAATTAACTATAAAACTGAGTTTAGTAGAGCACATATGTTCCATAAAGAAAGAAATAAGAGCAAGAAAGAGATTAGCTAGTGTACTGCATGGCCATGTCAGTGGAGTCCCTGGCCTCACTGTAATCTGGATGTGGCAGAGCCCTTTTTTTTTTCAGCTCTGTTCATCTGTGAGGGGCAACCAAGTCTCTCATATCTGGCAGAGGTGATCTCTATCAGGATAGTCACTGCTGATAACCAGTTGTAATTTAACAATCCACCTCGGCTAAAACTTTTTTTTTTGAGACGGAGTCTCGCTCTGTCGCTCAGGCTGGAGTGCAGTGGCGCAATCTCGGCTCACTGCAAGCTCCTAGCCTCCCAGGTTCACGCCATTCTCCTGCCTCAGCCTCCCAAGTAGCTGGGACTACAGGCGCCCCCCACCACGCCCGGCTAAATTTTTGTATTCTTTAGTACAGACGGGGTTTCACCGTGTTAGCCAGGATGGTCTCGATCTCCTGACCTCACGATCCACCCGCCTCGGCCTCCCAAAGTGCTGGGATTACAGGCGTGAGCCACTGCGCCCGGCCCACCTCGGCTAAAACTCTTAAAAACCAAAGTCCTTTGATGGAACCAGCAACGACAAAGCCTTCCTCTGGCAGCTCTGCCAGAGTCTCACTGTTTTTTATCAGAGCAAACAGGCAGAGCTATGATAATAGAAGGGAAGGATGAGGTCATCTCAATATAGGAGCATGGTGTGGGAGGAATAAGCTCAGGACTCATTCTAGAAGTCACTCTTTGCACAGAGTTAACTTTTAAAAATGTAAACCAAACTTGCCACTTCCTTGCTGAAATACTCAAATGGCTTAACATCCTGTTCATAATAAAATCAAATCTCCCCATACTAGCCTACAATGCCCTACAAGGTCTGACTCTCTCCAGTCCCTTCTCTTAGCATTCTTCCCTTTGCCCTCCAGCCAGGAGACTTTCTGTATGTGGAACAGGAAAGTTCCTTCCCACCTTAGGGCCTCTGCAATTACTATTCCCTTTGCCTGCATTGTATTTCCTCTGACTCCTTAGTTTCCATGGCACATCCCCAGAGAGGCCTTTTTCAGACACCCAAGTTAAAGTAGTTCCCACTCTTATCACTCTGATATTTTCAAATTACCATTTTTAAAGTTTTTTTTTATCTATCTACCTATCTTTATATCATCTCTCTCATCTAAACTAGCTACTAATATATTGTCTAATATGGTGGGGGTGGGAAGAGAATGGTGAAAGATGAATGAATAATTAAATGACTGGCTAGTTATGAATTCATTCACTAGTATTTCTCCCAGAATTAGCCTGCAAGTTCCATGGGAGTGGGGATTTTGAATGGATTCTCAGCTCCTGGAATGATGTCTAGTGCATAGTAGTCATCCAATAAGTGTTTATTGAATGAATGAAAAGGTTGAGATGAATAATTTAAAAAATAAAGCAGATGTGTTCATGTATTTTTCTTAAGAGCATGAAGTGCATCTCACCTATTACACATAAATAGTTAAAATGTTTTAGTGTTTTCCAGGAGAAAACAAATATGCAAAATGCTTTCCAGTGTCTCCTTTAATACTTACAACCTTCTGAGTTACATGCTATATTAGTTCCATTTTATAGATGGAGAAACTGAGGCTCAAAGAGATGAAGTAACTGCTATTTAAATCAGAGAGTAGGATCTGTGATCATTTGATGCTATCTAGTGAACTGTTCATGTGGTTTTATCTTATTAAAAGTGTGCTTATTGTAGTTACACCTTTTCTAAGTAAGATTTTATACATCTTAGAACAGCAGTTAACAACAAATGGTAAAAAGCATCCTTTCTTGCTTCTTTCTTGTTCAGGGGGTAGTGCTAGCTTTTGGTAGAAACAGTTATCTACAAATGACCAGGTTATAAATTATCAAATATGGGAACAAGGCTTTATCTGCTCCAGAATATATATAGATAATAATATAGAATGCCTCTTCAGCTTGTGGGAAAGGAATAAATGAAGGAGTGACATAATCTGTTATTAAAGAATATGTAAGAGACTCAGTAGCAAACTAATGTGTCTTTCTCTTATGTAGGAAAAACACTCTGCAGTTTCCTTTGGGAAATCCAGACCCCTTTTGGAGGCAGAAGTTTGCCTCTCTTAACTTCATGGGGTGCCCCACTCCCAGGAGCAGCCTGCTTTGGAAGGTGGCCTCCACTTCCAGCTTTAAGTAGGTCTGGCATTTGTCTCTTTGTTGGCTCCATGACAGACAGATGGAGCTTGATTCTAAACCGACCTGCTGGGCTTGGGTATGAGGCTTTCAGACATGAAATCTTGATTAACAGCAAATGTTAATTGAAGCAGTGAATTATTAAAGTGTTTTTCCATAAATGATAAATGCTGTTGTTGGCTGTTTTACCCTTCGTGACATCATAAAACTTTCCAAGAAATTGCTAGCTGTGACCAAGAAAAACAGGAAGAGATGGCAGCATTTGATGGTGTTCACAGTGATCTGCTTATGCTCTGTGGCCAGGCCCAGCTGGGGATGACACATCTTTTTTTTTTTCTGGAATCCCACATCATCTCAATGAAACCAACAAATCATCTTTCCCTCAAATGCAGAACTCTCTGCAAGTGATCTCATCCAGCCTCCTAGCTTCAGCTTGTACCAATAGCTGATGACTCTCAATCTTTACCTCAAACCCAGATTTTCTCCTGAGCTCCAGACTTACAAATACTACAATTATTATTGAGCAACTTCACCTGATGTCTAATAGGACCTCAAACTCATATTCATTCATCTAACAAATGTTTATCAAGTACGTGTCTTATGTTCTCAGGGTCACTTTATTCTAGGTACCAGGGAAACAATAATGAACAAAATAGCTGTAGCTCCTTATGGAACTTACATTCTAGTGGTGACAGGAGGAGAAAAAATAAAGCAGAGAAAGAGGATCAGGGAGTGCTGAGCATTGGTGGTGGTTGTGGTGGTGGCAGTGGTAGGGGTTTGTATAGGGTGCTCAGAGAATATCTTGTTAGATGACATTTGAGCAGAGACTTAGAAGAAATTCTAGATAGATCTATGTTTTTAACATAAAAAGTAAAATTATGAAATATACCACAAATAGATTCTCTGTCTTTCTCTTCAATTTCCCCCTTTTCCTGCATTTGAAATCTTGGGGAATGTGTTGTGCAGTCATTAGAGTCACATGCATGAGGTCATCTTCCTCCCCCATTCTGATATTTGTAAGGGAAGGTATCCTGTCACCCATCCTGAATTCCTGCCAGCCCCAAGCAGGAACTTATGCCCTCACAGAGGTATCAGATAGGGCCTTCTGCCTCTTGTCCATCTTTCGTTGGCTTGCTCCCACGGGAGAAGAAGTGATGGATCTAATAGACCAGATGGAGAAAATAATCTACTAGTCTAGTTTCTCAGCACTTGTCAAACTGTAATGTGTATAAGAGTCAGCTGGAGGATCTTCAAGTGCAGACTCTGACCCAGTGGGTCTTGTCTGGGGTCTAAGATTCTGCATTTTGATTAAGCTCCCAGATAATGCTGAGGTGGCCACTCTGTGGATCATACTCTCAGTAACAAGACTCAATGGGGGTGCGAGTCGACTTCAGTTCTCCATGCTAAGTGCTTTCTCAGAAGCTCCAACTCTCCTCACCTGTAGGGCCCAACATATGAGCTACGGAGCAAGTGTTAGGGAGTGCATTTTTATAGCAAATCCAAGCCAGAGACACCAATCCAGATTTATCAGATTGAAGCTGATATTTTGATTTCTATTTGACACTTGTCTGATCCCCAGTTGGTCTAGAAGTCAGGAGAGAGAGGCTTGGTATTATCATTTCTATTTTACAGATGGTGGCTTAATGGCAAGCTGAACAACTGGGCTAAAGCCAATTGGGAGAAAGTGCAGACTGGGATTTGAAGCAGATCAGTCTGGCCCTTTTACCTGTTGTTTTATACTGTCTCCAGTTAAAATATCCTGTCCCACATAATCTGTCCTCCCCACAATACGATCCTGTCTTTCTTTGTATACTGTAGTCACTATATCCTGCTTCATATCCTCAACACCTGTCCTAGCTTCCTTGTCCCTTTTTACTACTTGGCCACCTTCTCATCTATCAACATGAAATCAAGGTCTGTTGCCTTTATGAAGCTTTTCTTCAATGCTTCAGCATGAACTAGGCCTTTCCTATGTGGCTCCTGGTTTACTGTGTGCAGAATTTCGTATGTTCTTTTGCCATAATTATTGTATTTATTTGTTACTTGACAATTTCCTCTTTCTATCTTTTGAAAGATAGGAATCATGCCTGATTTATCTTTTCTCCCCAGCACTCTGCTCAGGGTGTGTATGTTATTAAGTGCTAAATATATACTGAATGAATACTTAATACTTAGGTTGGAACTTAGTGGCTTAATATTTCTGTGCTCAATCTTCCTTTTTCTGTCTCCTTTTCACTCCTGTGAAGTTTGTTTGAAGTGCCTGTTTCCTTCTCCACTGTATGAGCAGAAATAGAGAGAGCAGGATCAACATATTATTATGTTAGAAACCCACTCATCACGTGATGAGGAACTTGCACAAACTTGTGGTAAAATAAAAGTTGGATAATATTTTTTTTGAGATCGAGTCTGGCTCTGTGGCCCCGGCTGGAGTGCAGTGGTGCGATCTCAGCTAACTGCAGCCTCCACCTCCCAGGCTCAAGTGATTTTCCTGCATCAGCCTCCTGAGTAGGTGGACTACAGGTACGCATCACCAAGCCCAGCTAATTTTTGTATTTTTAGTAGAGACAGGGTTTCACCGTGTTGGCCAGGCTGGTCTCAAACTCCTGACCTCGTGATCTGCCCACCTCGGCCTCCCAAAGAGTTGGGATTACAGGCATGAGCCACCGCACCCGGCCATAATAAAATATTTTTATATCCTGAGAAGTGCGTAATCAAACATTTAACTCAAAGGTAAGAAGAACCAGCTTTTTTTTTTTTTTATTAATTAGTGTATGGTCTTAAGCTAGTTACCTAAATTATCTGAGCTTTACTTTTCTTATCTGTAAATTGGTGGCTTGGACATCTATATCACAGTATTATCAAAAGATTAGATAAAACAATACATCTTGAAGAGCAGCAGGGCTCCAAAACTGCCAGTCTCCTTGCTTGCTCTTATTCATTCAGCTACCGTGATCTTTAGGCTCTCATCATACTTGCCTCTTTTTTACTTTCTGTCTCTCCCATTTCCATACATTTTACATCTGCTCCCATGTTTCACTCTCCACATGTAATATTCATCCCAATGCTCTTCTGCTCTAAAATCCTATCACCAAGAAGATAAAATCCAAAGAGCCTTATACCAAGCTTCTCCTGTAATCTTCCCGCATATCCTGACACCAGTTCCTGCTCTGGGCAAAGTGGGCAGCCACTCTTTTTGAAAATAAAAATTTTTTTTTTGTCCCTGGGATATTTCTCACATGTTCCATCTACTAATGGAATGACCGGCTAGTTATGAATTCATATGCCCAATTATTTAAGAATCCAAATCCCCTCCTCAAAACATAATGCAAGTCTTAATGCAAATACCAGATTCAACGTGTGCTTGCTTATCTGACCTGTGTGTCCCATTTATATAGTAATTAGTTTTTGCATTTTCCTGTTGGAATAGTACTTTTTCTGTTGTTTGAAAACACCCTTTAAATTTTGTCTCACCATTTTTTTCTCTCCTACCGGATGGCACCAGGCACTATGGGTTACTCAAGAACAGGGACTATGTCTTGTATTCCACATAGATTTGTATTCTGATCACTGCCTAACATGCAACTGATATTTATTCACTCCATATTGAGCAGTTTACACTGTGCCAGTCACTCAGTACATTAAAATCAGTATCAAGAGGAGGCTCATGAAGATTCCTCAATCTAGTTATGGAGATAGACAATACACAGGTGGAATGCACTGAATTAGTGGATAAAAATGGCCATGGATTCTTTGCAACTGTTTTCATCGAAAGGTGAAGTCTATTCTCTTGTCTCTTGAAGCTGGCTGCTCTTGTGATGTGATTTTTCAATGGAATGTAGCAGAAGCCACATTGTATAACTGTTTGCAGCATCTTCTCTCATCCCTTGGGACACTTCAACCATGAAAACAAGTCAACGCCAGCCTCGCTGAAGATGATAGACCATATGGAGTGGGGGCAGCCCAGCCTTCCCAGCTATCTCTCTCTAGATGAGTAAACCCAGCCAACCATGTGGAGCAGAGATTCTGAATTCAACCCAAATTACCGACCCACTGAATGATGAGAAATAAATGATCATTATTTTGAGTGACTGATGTTTGGGAATGGTTTTTGGTACAGTGCACTAAGTGATGTGATACATTAATATAATAAAACCCAGCCTACTGGGGCAGAGGCCAGCTAGGGAAAATCTCTAGAGATGATATTTTACCTTAATATTTTATGAGTAGAAGTTTCCAGAATGAATAGCTAAAGGGGGAACACATAGTAGGTACTTAACAAAATTGTGTTGCTTTGGTTATCAAAAATACTCTAAATAAAATTTAAGAAAAAATACAATTATGTCATCATCTCATTCCTACCCACAATCAGACATTTAACAAAGATGTAAGTTACTGGACAAGTGAATGGAGACAAAAAAATATTATAAGATGAGTTACTACTGTGAAGCAGCTAACACTTTAAGTGAAATACAGCGCACATAGGCAAAAACAAGATACCAATTCAAGGCATATGTAATAAGTGGAATAGGCAGTGGACTAGCAGGTGGGCAGAGGGAGGAATATTAAAGAACCAGGTCCCTTAAGAGAGCTTCATAGAAGAGGCAGTATAGGGACAAGATTGTAAAGTATAGAGAGTGCATAAAACAGAGAAAACTGAGTTCGAAATAGGAAGAAATAGGACATTATTCACAAAGGAAAATGTCAAGAGCAAAACACGGAGGCAAGCCTATGGCTCATCTGGATCAGGAGCAGACACTTGGAAGTGCAAGTGTAAGGGGATGGTTTTGTAAAGGTAGTTAAGGACCTTATAGTAATTGGTCTTGAATGCCATAGTAAGAAAATGTTGGCTGGGAGTGGTGGCTCACGCCTGTAATCCCAGCACTTTGGGAGGCCGAGGTGGGCAAAACATGAGGTCAGGAGATCAAGACCATCCTGGCTAACATGGTGAAACCCCGTCTCTACTAAAAATACAAAAAATTAGCTGGGCGTGGTGGCGGGCGCCTGTAGTCCCAGCTACTCGGGAGGCTGAGGCAGGAGAATGGCATGAACCCGGGAGGCGGAGCTTGCAGTGAGCCGAGATCGCGCCACTGCACTCCAGCCTGGGTGACAGAGCAAGACTCCATCTCAAAAAAAAAAAAAAAGAAAAAAGAAAATTTTATTTTATTTTATTTTGAGTAAATGGGAGCCATTAAAGACTTTTTAATGTGGTGAAAAACCAACCTCAAAGTCTTCCTGGTGGCAGCAACACTGAGACTTTTCTCCTGAAGCCCAGAGGCTACTTTCCAAATATCCAGTCTGCTTTTTTCCTAAATTTTTGTGATCAAATTTGGTTTAGGAAAGTATTAGGAAATTCCCCATATATGTGGATCTGGAGTTTGGGCATATTCCAATACAGAAAGTGGTATGCTAGCATACCTACTTGTCATTTGAGAAATGGCTGAATTTGGTATAATAGATCTTGCTTTTCCAGTCCATATCTGGCTTTTCAGGCTCACCCGCTGGCTCTTCAGTATACATGGAGCATGTCAAGTCAATAATGAGCCCAACAGTGCCCCATATTCTCCTATAAACTTGGTGGCAATATAAATAGGAGATGGTAAAGAACTATTCTTCATTCTACAAATATCTCTTGATGTCATGTCTGGGCTAAGTATTTGGGATTAGAAAAGTCATATAAGACACTGTTGCACCCCTTTTTGACCCACTAGTGAAAGCAAATACATCAAAATATATCATGCAAGATACCATAATGAGTGATATGGATTGGCTCGCTCAGCTTCAGTTTTCTTCTTCCTGCTGAGCCTTGCTGTTTGCAAAGGCTGAAAAGTTAAAGCCTTAATTTCCTAGATTCCTTTTCAGCTAGGGTTCTGGTTATAAATTTGGTTCCACCAATTGAATGAATCCACACATGATTTGAAAGGACAAATTTCTTTCCCTTTGATAATTTTTTGTTGGCAAGCGAGGTCCTGGGGACTGCAGTTTTCTGCTGCAACATCTAGAGGCTCATCTACCAACTTTATGACTGTCAAGAGGCAATTTCAGCTGTTGTGTCAGCAACGTTCCAACTCTGACTTTCTGATAGGGTCGTGGTTAGGATGTGTGCTCTTGTACTAAGCTCAGTTCTGTAGTGTTCTGAGTCATTTCAAGAGACCCAGGCTAGAAACCTTGTAACAGTTTTATAAACATCTAATTCCCTGTATTAAATTTTCTGCCCAAATTACTAAGAGTGGTTTCTGTTTTCTGCACTGAGCATTTACAGATTGTATAAAAGGTGTATAAACAAAATAATGAGAGTTTAGCCAAGTGTGTGACTAATTCTGCTTGGGGGAGTTGGAGAAGTTTCCATGTAGGAAATGATAATATCATGTATCTTTAAAGATGAGTAGTAATTATTATTCAACAGTCAGCTAAGGATGGAAAGGGCAGTCTAGGCATTGAAAACATCTGGTGTAGAAGCACAGAGGTGTTTAAGAGAATAGTGTTAGAGAATGATAAATAGACTATTGAATTTCCACTGACATTTCCAGGCCATTTTTAGTACTTTATTTTAACAATAGAGTTTTACCTCAGTGTTTCTGCATAAAGCGTCAATTCATTATTCTTTATTTTGCTTTTCATATCATAAGTAGCATGTACCTATATTTATATACATATACATCTATATTAGATATATGAGTATAATTAACATATATCTTTCCCACGTTCAGTCACCAGCACAGTAGAGAGATGTCAGGGAGTAGTATACTAGAGTGGTTAGAATATGGGCTTGAGAGTCAGACTGATGTTACTTTCTGCCATTATTAACTTGTTTTTGTGAATGATTTCAACACTTTCTGGTTATTAAAAAATATGCCAAGGGAGTTCTTGTAGTGCCACAAAATTTCCAAGGAAAATTTTTATGCCAATTTTAAAATGTAAAGTTGACAGTGGTTCAAGGCATTTGATGTAATGGACAAGACAACAGAAGGTAAATATCAGTAGAAATTGGTGGAAATCTTTTGACATTTCCAAGAAAATGTTCCTTGCACTAAGTATAGGCTATGCCTATCCTTTCATTTAAAATTTATACTATTTACACTTCCCTCTTCTCATCCCTGTACATCTCCTACATTCCATGAGATCTTTTGGATCTGACGTTTTGTTGTCTATTTTCTTGGAAGTGATAGTGTTCACTCAGTAAGCTTCAGAGTTGTTTGTAGCAGAGTCTCTATGTCACTGTCCATAGTGCCATTCAGGTGTGCCAAACAGTTATTAGTCTGCAGTAATGTTTACAATACCCTTTAAAATGTCATTGGTTGCCAGAGGTTCAGGGAAGAGGACCATTGAATAAATGAAAGACAGGGATTTTTTTAGAGTGGTTAAACTATTTTATAATATATAATACTGTAATGGTGGATACATGACACTACGTATTTATCAAAACCTATAGAACATTAGAAAAGTAGAGTGAACTTTAGTGTTTGCAAATTTTAAAAGTCATTTAGAAGGTCAGGGATTTCAATGCAGACAGTGGCAGAAGAATCTAATTGTATTACAATTATGTTGTATGAAACCGTCTTACTGAAGGGAGCGGGAAAGTGGCAGAAAAAGATGCTGACAAATAATTTTGAAAATGAATGAAGTCTCTAATAATAAAGACAAAGGAATATAAGCATCATCCTCTCATTGATAATTTGATGCCCATGGGGATATGGATTAATAATTCTGAAACCACTATATGTGTAAACCGAAATGGAACAATTAAGTACATGGATGGCAGATGGTGTGAGCCAGGTTTCTCACTGCTGGAAGTTAGACAAGCAAGGGGAGTAAGCTAGAATTGTCCATGTGGTAATGGATTTGAGTCACAGATATCAGTATGAATGCATGTTTAGCTTAATATACATACAGATGATTATATACAGAAATAATTATATATTATATATAGGATTACATCTAGAATATACATTTATATAAATATTATAAAGAAATAATTATAGACATGTGTATATATAAGTTAGTATACACACATGTATTTCCTTACTCTGTCATCTGAAAGGTCCTAGAAGCAACAACACCCTAATAGCAATGAGCATACTTAGCACCCAGATCTTACTTTCCAATACCATTCTCCAACAAGAGGAACTATGGATTCTTAGAAAAATGAATGTTTCTGGGACTGGGGTTGGAAATAGTCAATATGAACTGGGAGGATCTTATGCCAGAAAGGAAGTGCCCAAATACACATGCACACATACACAGACACATGCACACATCAAAAGAACAGAGAAGCCAGCTGAGCAATAAAATAAATAAAATAGTATTGGATTATAAGCCAAAGTATAAAATAAATATTCATGAGTCCGCACTAATATGAATATAAATAAGTAACTGAATATGTAACTAAACGATGGAGGAGAGACAAACCTCCCATGATGAAGAATTCCAAATAATTCATTTAGACATCTGCCCTTAAGAAGGTGGAGCATAACTCACCACCCCACTAGTGTGGGCTCCATCTATGACTTCCTCCAAAACAGCATAGCATGGAAAGCGGGAAAAGAAAATAACTTTCAGTGGAGAAACCCGACAAACACTACCTCATCTAAGTGATCAACAGCAGCACTGATAAATCACGTTGATAGTATGCACCTCTGAAATGATGTGATAGGGATGCCGCTTTTCCTTCCTGATCTGCTTCCCAGAAATCCATAGCCCTAGTCAAATTGTCAGAAAAATATCAGACACATTCTCACTGAGGGACAGTCTACAGAATACGTGACCAGTACTCTTCAAAACTGTCAAGGGTCATCAAAAACAAGCAAGATCTGAGAAACTGTCACAGCTGAGAGGAGCCTCAAGAGACCTATAACTGAGTTTAGTGTGGTATTCCAGATGTGTTCCTGAGACAGAAAAATGACATGAAGTTAAAAACGAGGGAAATCTGGATAAATTATGGACTTTAGTTAATAATGTATCAATTTTTAAAATTAATTGTGACAAATGTATCATATTAATGTAAGTTGTTAATTATAGCGGAAACTGGGTGTGGAGATATATGGGAACTCTGTACTATCTTCACAAATTTAATAACTATTTTAAAATAAAAATTTTATTTAAAAAGTAAACACACACATCCATACACATACATTCGTGTGCACACACACATAGGCACAGTCAAAATTAAAAGAATTTTATTAGCCCAATATGGAACAATCTGAGAATCAAAAGAATAATTATTACAATAGTTTGAAACATACTAAATATACAGAAATCCATGAGTTTATAATAATATTTCAAAGGAAAAAAACCAGGGTCAACCAGGGCATCAACTCCTAATGCTGAAAAGTAGTAATAAAAGAGAAAGAATTAAACATTTATTGGGCGCAGTGGTTCACGCCTGTAACCCCAGCACTTTAGGAGGCCGAGGCAGGTGGATCACCTGAGCTCAGGAGTTCATGACCAGCCTAGACAACATGGTGAAACCCCGTCTCTACTAAAAATACAAAAAATTAGCCACGCGTGGTGGCAGGCGCCTGTAATCCCAGCTACTCAGGAGGCGGAGGCAGGAGAATCACTTGAACCCGGGAGGCGGAGGTTGCAGTGAGCCAAGATCGCGCCATTGCACTCCAGCCTGGGCAACAAGAGTGAAACTTTGTCTCAAAAACAAACAAACAAACAAAAAACAACAACAAAAAAATTTATTTTGCCTTTTTTATGCAAATCCCGTTTCAAGGTATCCAAACAGCCATAGCTAATAAGGGAAAGTTCCTGAAGAATTATAGATAATAAGTTAGGAAACAATAATAGAATTAGAAAAATAAGTATTTTGCAACCCCTAATGAAATAACTTATAGATAAAACTATTAAATAAAAGATAAATGGGTAACTTTACAATACAGAGGCCAGGTTGTCACCATCTAAAACTACAGGTCAGTCTTAGACAAGCAGACATTGTGAGCTTCCTCATGTGAAACTGAAGCTATACTATTTATAAAGGATTCTTGCTCTCCCTTCCCAAATTAAACCTGAATCTACTCAAGCCTAACTCCAATGTACAGGAAGCAGGCAAAGAGAAGAACAGATTAAATGACACTATAAGGAAGCAAATAGATTTATCCAGAATGTGGACATTCAACAGGACAAGTTACATGGTTTCGTCAACAAATTAGATAATTTTTTTTAAAAGAAGGAAAGATTGCTTAAGATTAAAAGACTTTTAGGAGGTATGATAATCAAACTCAATGTGTAGACTATGTTTGAATTCTGACTCAAAATCAACTGAAAAGATAGTTTTGAGACAATTGGGGAAGTTTGAATATGGATTTGGGTATTAGATAATATCAAAGAATTACTGAAATTTTGTTCATTTAATAATGGCATTGTTCTTGTGTAAGAAAATATACTTTTAAAACACTATACCTACTTAAGCAACTGAAGCTATGCAATTTGCTTTAAAATGCATTTTCACCACAAGTTAAAAGAAATAGATGAAGCAAGTAGAGTGAATTTTGATGACCATTGAATGTGGATGATGGTTATATGGGAGCTGATAACAATATTCCAATATTCTTCCTATTTTGTGACTATTAGAGAATTTTTATTACACTTCGTAAAGGTAAGTGAAAATTTTAAATATAGATATATACATAAATACATATATAGATATATATATACACACACATATATATACACACACATGTATATACACACACATACATACCTGTGGTGTTGCAGGTTGCATTCACTGGAAAGTAGATGCTGCGATGGAGTTTACCAAACAGGATGTTTATTAAGGAGTATCCTTAGAATCAACACCCATGGAAGAGAGGCAAAGGAAGAAAACAGGAATATATAGAGGGGAAAGTCAAGCTGCAATGCAGACCCAACCTCAGTGAGACTCGGGAGCACAATGGCCCTTTAAAGTTGTCCCAAGTTGGGTCTAGATGGCCAAGACTTTACACTCCTGCATCAGTGAGTCACTGGATGTGGGCCAGCCCAGGAAGGAGTAAAACACTGGGAAAGGCAGCTCTCTGCAATCTCTAAAGGGGCTGGCAGCTGAAGGCTGTGACTGACAGCACTCCAAGCAGCTGGTGCAGCAAGTTCATCATTGGGTCTACCACCAGATCTCACAGATATGAGAGGCAAAGTTAGCCAGGATCTATAACCAGGGGTGTCTGGATGTCGAAAGAAGAATAATAGGACGGATCCAAGATCAGGCAGGCCCCAGAGTCCAGGGAGGCACGCAAGAGGAGGAGCTGGCAGAAAGCCAAAGAGGCAAATAAGAGAGGCTTCCCAGTGCCTCAGGATTAGAGAGCTTTGCAACTGTAGCAAATGTGTAGCCTAGCCAGAAATTTTCCACCCAAAAAGCCAAGAGCAAGTGACCATTAAGCAATGGATGGAGGAAGGAAGAAGCAGTAACTAAGCTTTGAAAGACATGAGCTTGGAGTTCTGTAACTTGGAGAAGAATCTATGCTTAGCCTGCTTAGTAGTAATACTAACCATTGCTTGACAGGGGAAAATGCTTTAGTTAATGCAGAAGCCTCTTTAAGTGTGAATGTTTAGGTAAACCTGAGATACCTCCCACACATAGAGGGGTGCAGTAGCAAACTCTCCAGTCCATTGTGCCTTCTTGTTCTTTGCCAGTGAAATCCATCATTGCTAAAATCCGAGGGGAGCCTCATCTCATGTACACTGCTTATTCCTGGATTCATACAGGCATGTGGTGTGACTAGCCATTTGACCATTTCCATCTTTCCTTTATACTGTTCTGTATGAAACTTCCATTTCTAGTGTAAATCTGGAATGTCCATAACTGGTTTTGTGGATTTTTTCCCCATTCCCATAATTAGTGAAAAAGATGAAAATTTTTCTAGTTTTTCCCCTACTTCTTACCTCTAATATTATTAAATCTTGCCAATTCTCTTTGTTAAATAACTCTCAAGCTTATCACCTCATCTCAATTCCCATGACACACAGTACTCCTGCCTAAGTTCAGGTTATTATTACTTATTGGGTAAATTTTTAAAATAGATGGCTATTTCTTTCCCCTTTATACTTCGATTGCATGATTATCATGGAAGTCTTGCTTCACGGTCTGTGGAGATACTTGTCTACTCATCTATTTACTCGTATTCCCACAAGAAGAAAAGTTTAAAAATAGAGAAATTAATCAAACCTATCAATCAAAAAGAGTTGGCATAGGCAATGGTCTTGTTCAAAATAAAGCAGTACTTGTCTTTTTTTTAAAGCAAACAAATATAGACTGTGTGTAGCTGTCAACGTGAAACAGAGCCAGGCAGTAGTTAAAGCTATCAAAACAGATTTTATTCAGGAACTATTGCAATAGGGTAATAGAGATATTAGTCTAGAACTGGGCCCAATTCCAAATACGACAAAGAGAGCTGGAGATTTACAGCCAACGAGCAAAATGAAGGGGTCAATGGATGAAAAATTACTGAGGAGACATACAGAGGAGGGGGATTCCTGCCAAATCAACAAGATTCTTGCTGAAGACAGGCCAGGGTGATGAGATATTAAGGATCAGGGGATGAGGAATTTGATCAGGTATTGATGGGGGATCAGATTTCAAGGGTGGGAGACTGTCTGTACATTACCTTAGCAGAATTGTTTGCTCAAACTGGGTTAGGCAGGCCCAGAAGGATGGGGGCCAAGATCGAGGCCTTGTCATGAAGAGGGCTCAGAGGAGCCTGACTAAATTTTGATCAAAGAGGAAGTCTTTGTCAGCAAATGAATTGTCAATAATGAAGATCATATTGATATTTGATAAATTACCCATAAATGAAGAAATCTGAATCTCAGGAGAATGAAGATCAATACTTTAATTGGCCCATTTCAGATGTAGATTGTTTTAGGCTAACTTTTGAAGTGACTAAAGCATATTAGTCACACCTAATGCCACTTTTTATTTGTAAAAAATCCTTTTTGCAAAAATTCCAAACTTGTTTTCTTGACCTATAAAATGCATGAAAATCTTTGCCTTAAGTATCTTCTCACACTCCTTTCCTTCATCTCCTCCACACGTTTTGTGAATTGCAGGCAAGCTAGACTGGTTGTGATCTTTTTCCTATATGTGATATTTCTTAAGTCTAAAACTTTACTCAAGATGTTCTCTCTTTCTACCATGGCCTTCTCAACTTTGTAAACTCTTGTATTATCTTTCAAGACACACATCAGTGTCACCTCTTCCCAAAAGATTTCTCTTGCCTTTCTAGTAGGGTTTAAGTGTGCCTTCCTCTGTCCTCCACTAGGGTCCTGCCTGTACAGCAGTTATAGCATTTGTAATATTGCACTGCAGTTACTACTTTACATGTTTACTGTCCCCAAGTGACAGTAATCCTGTTTCAGTGAGGCAGTGATACTGTTTCAGTCATCATTGTGTACCCAACACCCACTTCAGTGCCTGGCACCAAGTAGCTGCTGAATAGATATTGGTTGATTGAACGAATGGATACCTGAATAAAAGAACAAGGATTCTGTAGCTGGTTGACTTACCTAACATTTGGCAGTCAGTAGAAAGAATTGTTAAAAAAAATCAAAATCTCAAGTTTCTCCGTGTAGCAAGGAAGAGATATTTGCCATTGTTATTCATGGGCAGCTCTAGAAAATGGCAGAATCACAGACAAAAATTGGCAAGCTGCCAGACATTAATCTCAGTGAATTTCTGAAAGACATTCATATGCCCTAAACAAATTCCTTCAAGCTGTTTCTATGTACTGTGTAGGTCTCATAACTCAGAATTGTATCTCCTCAAGCACCTAAACCATTATGTTGTAGGGACAATGAGAAAAAAGGATATGCAATAGAACTGGGGTAAGCCTTTTCACAGCGGCTAGAACACAAAGCAAGGATTTCCCAAATAATCTGTCCTCAAACAGCTCCTTTTATTCTCCCAGGGACCCAGGCAGCTGACTAACAAGATAGTATCTGCCATCCCAAATTAAGGTCTAAAAGCAGAGCCCAGGGAAAGAGGGAAGAGAGCATTCTTAGGTAAGCAGCAGGTGTGAACAGCACAAAAACCAGGATCAGTGTAAAATTTGGCTACAAATCAACAAATAAGCACCACATACAAAATTATAGATGTAAAGATACATACGAACATATTTTCCAGAAAGTAGATAAAAATTTTGGAAAACAACTATTTTGTATGCTAAAGAAAATTAAAGACATTACATACTCTGTAATAATCGAGACTCAAAAAAAGAGATCCTAAAACTCTAGATAACAGTAATATAACACATTCTCTCAGATATATAAGGATACTTATAATATTATTTGTTATACTTTAAGTTCTGGGATACATGTGCAGAACGTGCAGTTTTGTTACTTGGTATACGTGTGCCACGGTGGTTTGCTGCACCCATCCACCCATCATCTAGGTTTTAAGCCCCACATGCATTAGGTATTTGTCCTAATGCTCTCCCTCCCCTTCCCCCCACCTCCTGACAGGCCCCGGTGTGTGATGTTTCCCTCCCTGTGCCCATGTGTTCTCATTGTTCAACTCCACTTATGAGTGAGAACATGTGGTGTTTGGTTTTCTGTTCCTATAATATTATTTTTTAAAAAATCCTTCTGATGTTGGCATTAAAAATTATTGGTGTTCTTTTCTTATTTTGGTTTATGCCATTTTTGTTAGAAACTTTCTTCAAGTATCTGGTGATCCTTGGCTACCATTTATGTTTGGCGTGAGATAGTATAATGCCGGTTGGAAGCTTTGTGTTCATAGGAGTATTGTAAACAGCTGATCTTTTCTATTGGGTAAATACTAAGTGCAAATCTATTTTATTTGAGGACCACAAAGTGTCAATATCCACATGTTTTATCTTGGTCAGATGTTTGCCCCATAAGTTAATCCCCCAATTTCCTGTGTATGTATATAGTTCGGGGCAATTCTGACTGTCACCAATTTAGAAGCTGAGAGGGCAAAGGAGGGTTAAAACGTGCTTATTTAATTTCTTCCTCTAGTTTACACTGCCTTATTCTAGCTCTTATATGTGCTTGTTGTCTCCATACTAAATCCCTCCAGTTTATCTTCTCTACATAATTAACTTTCAATCTTCTGCTGGGGTGGAGGGTCAGACAATAATCTGTAGAAGGTCAAGGAGAGGATGTGGACACTTAATTACTTCTTTTATGGAATTTTTTCTGTCGTTATTTTTCAAGGCCCTATGGAACACCACCAAGGTACTCCAATTCTAGAACCTTTCTGAAGTTTAGGGGTGTGAGTCAGTCTACTTATGGGACTCTACCTTTTCTGTTTTTGGTTGCAGCACTCTTTTTCCAATTGGCAAAATTGTTTGCATTTGTCTATTTGTTTTCCAACTCCCCAGTTTCATTACTATCACCTCCAATCCTTTATTCTTTCTCCTTGAGATTTTTATTCCTCTTCCATAATTGGGGGTAAGGCATAGAAGAGAGGGCACTGGGTGCATTTAGGCAATCTGCCATTAGGAAGTCCTAATCCATGTTTGCTCCCAACTTTTTATTTTGAAAAACTTCACACATACACAAAAGTTGAAATAGAACAGAAAACACTCGTACACCCTTCACCCAGATTTACCAATTGTTCCAATTGTTAGATTTTACCATAATTGCTTTCACTCGGTTTCTGTCTGTTTGTCTCCCTATCTGGCTAAATTTTGGATGATTTGAGCATCAAAAAAGTAAATAAATAAAATCATAATCTATTTTTGCTGACTCATTTGAAATTAAGTTGCAGTTACCGTAAACTATTCTTCAAAATATATACACAACCTTAAGTCCCTGAGGGATTAAAAAAACACAAATCCTCCTGTCCGGGCACAGTGACTCATGCCTGTAATCCCAGCACTTTGGGAGGCCAAGGCGGGTGGATCACGAAGTCAGGAATACAAGACCAGCCTGACCAACATGGTGAAACCCTATCTCTACTAAAAATACAAAAATTAGCCAGGCGTGGTGGTGTGCACCTGTAATCCCAGCTACTCAGGAGGCTGAGGCAGGAGAATTGCTTGAACCCGGGAGGTGGTGGTTGCAGTGAGCCGAGATTGCGCCACTGTACTCCAGCCTGGGTGACAGAGCGAGACTCCATCTCAGAAATTAAAAAAAAAAAAAAAAAGAAATACTCCTACATAAGCACAATATCATTCTCACACTTAAAAAAATAGCATCATCTAATATCCAGTTCATATTAAAATATCCTCCACTGTCACAAAAGTTTTTTGTATCTATTTTTGTTTGTTTGTTTAGATGAAGGATCTAGTTAAAGATAGCATAGTGCATTTGGATGCTGTATCTCTTTAGTCATTTTCAATCTAAAACAGCTCTGCTAATTTGTTGGAGTTTGTAGAAAGTCCACATTCTGGAGTAGGTTGATTGTTTTCTCATGGTGCCATTAAACTTGTTCTTTTATCCCTAAGTTTCCTGCAAACTGAAAGACAGATCTGAGGCTTGATTTGATTCATGTTAAACCATACACTTCACAGGTGAAATTGTATTCTTCTTACTGCATTTTATCACCAGGCACATAAGGTCAGGTCGTCTCAGTCTTAGTGCTAAGTTTAATGATGTGATTAAATCAATGAACATGAGATCTGGTAGAAGCCAACGGTTTTCCTTTGAGTTAGTAATTGATCTGTGGGGTGATACTTTTAGACGATGTGAATCTCATGCTCCCCAGTCACCATCTGCCTAGTAGTCATTTTTTAAAAAATAATCTCAGCTTTTATTTTAGTTTCAGGAGGTACATGTGTACTCATTTGTTACATGGGTATATTGCGTGATGCTGAGGTTTGGGGTACAGATCCCATCAGTCAGGTAGTGAGCATAGTACTTGATAGGTAGTTTTTCAACCCACAACTCTTCCTTCCGTCCTGTCTCTAGTAGTTCCCAGAGTCTGTTGTTCCCATCTTTATGTCCATTTGTACTCAGTGTTTAGCTCCCACTTATAAGTGAGAACATGTAGTATTTGGTTTTCTGTTCCTGCATTAATTCACTTAGGATATGACCTCCAGCTTCATTCATGTTGCTGCAAAGGACATGATTTCATTCTTCTTTATGGCTGCATAGCATTCCATGGTGTACATGTACCAAATTTTCTTTATCCAGTCCACCACTGATGGGCACCTAGGTTGATTCCATGTCTTTGCTATTGTGAATAGTGCTGTGATGAACATATGCATGCATGTATCTTTTTGTTACAACAATTTATATTCCTTTGGGTATATACCCAGTAATGGGATTGCTGGGTCGAATGGTAGCTGTTTCAAGTTTTTGAGAAATCTCCAAACTGCTTTTCACAGTGGCTGAATGAATTTACATTCCCACCAACAGTGGATAAGTGTTCTCTTTTCTCCACAGCCTCACCAGTATCTGTTATTTTTTGACTTTTTAATAATAGCCACTCTGCATCTAGTCATTTTAGAATCAATCCATAATCCTTGACTGAATCAATTTTGAAACTGTGGTTGCAAATGGTAGTTTGCTAATTCTATCCATCCTTTTACATTTACTCACTAGCATTTCTTCCCTAGAGAAGAGCTTTCCCTTTTTACTTTAGCTGTGTGTATAGATGTATCATTACAGACTCAGAATTTATTTAAATATTTTTATTTATTAAAAATCAACTGTTATTAACATTTTCATGATTTTTTATGTTCAAATTCTCTAAAATGTGGATAGTGAAAAGTGGAAGTCCCTTCAAATTTGCTCCTGTGTCCTTTTGGCACCACTCCATTACTCATTGAGCACCTTCTTGTTTTCTTATATTATACAATATCCTAAATTAACCTTGTATTTTTCCTGTACTAGACTTGGAATCATCCATTTCTCCAAGAAGCCTTTATTCCTCAAAGTGGGAAATGGTATTTAGCAACCAAAATGTATGCTTTAGGCATTTGTTTATTGTTGTTTAGAGTAGTATTGCTTCTCAGCATTTTTAAAGGACAGAACAAGGAACAAATATAGAAAATTATGACTTCATACTAATATTCCCAATGAAGATTGACCATATTAGACATTTTATTGTGTTCACTTATATCATATTTTGTCTTTTTCTTACAGTGAAAATCTTGGTACCTACCTATTTACTTTATTCTACAATATACATAAAACTATTTCAGAATTATAATACCAATATTACTAACAATAAACTATAATAAATACTTCAAGATTTCTTTGCAGTTCATTTTGTCCTCAGAATAGATGCTACTAAAGATGTAAGGACAGTGTTAATTTAAAATAATTTTACTTTCTTGTGTTATGTCATCAATTTATATATGGTTAGACACGTGTTTATATTCTGTTTTAGGTGTTTTGTTTTTAAATCCTTGTTATTTTGTTTAATTTTTTGAATATATAAAGCATATACATTACTCAAAAATCAAAACTATATGAAAATGTGTACTCAGATAAAGGTAAACTATAAGAAAAGGTATAGTCAGATAGAGGCATATTCATGTTTTTGCTCCTAATTTTATCCGCTCCCCCTACTCCCACACACTTCAGGTAGCCATATAAGGCAACCACCCAATTTAGGTAATCGTTATCATTAGTCTCTGATTCATCCTTCTTGAGTTTCTTTTTGCAAAAATGATCATATGTTTTATTTTTGTTTTCCCTTCTTTTTTTACACAAAAGAAAGCATTCTATCTATATACTCTTTTGTACCCTTTTTTCTACTTATCTGTGGAAATTAAAAATGGAAATTACTGGCCGGGCACGGTGGCTCACGCCTGTGATCCCAGCACTTTGGGAGTCCAAGGCAGGTGAATCACTTGAGGTCAGGAGTTCAAGATAAGCCTGACCAACATGCTGAAACCCCTACTAAAAATACAAAAATTAGCTGGGTGTGGTGATACACGCCTGTGATCCCAGCTACTTGGGAGGTTGAGGCAGGAGAATTGCTTGAACCCAGGCGGCAGATGTTGCAGTGAGCTGAGATGGCGCCACTGCACTCCAGCCTGGGCGACAGAGCGAGACACTGTCTCAAACAAACAAACAAACAAACAAACCAAAAAAAGGAAATTACTTCATATCAATTCATAGAATTCTTCTTAATTATTTTTACAGCTGCCATAGTACTTCATTAGGTGGATGCAGTTTATTTAAATATGCTCCTACTAATAGGAATTTGTGTTGCCCCGCATTTCAATAGATTTTACTATTATAAATCATGCTGCGATAAAAAACCTTGTGCATATGTTGTTTCATATTTGTGGAAATGTATCTTCAAGGTAAATTCTAGAACTAGGATTTGCTCAGTCAAAGGATAAATGCCTAAGTATTTCTTTAGTCCTCTCCACAGGGAGCTAATCAACTTTTAAGAACATCTAAACTTACTACCTGACTACTTACATCCAATCTTGACGCCTGTTTGAAAAGAACTGTTTTTAAAAATTCAACTATTGTGGAAGACAGTGTGGTGATTCCTCAAGGATCCAGAACTAGAAATACCATTTGACCCAGCAATCCCATTACTCCATATATACCCAAAGGATTATAAATCATTCTACTATAAAGACACATGCACACATATGTTTATTGCAGCATTATTCACCATAGCAAAGTCTTGGAACCAACCCAAATGTCCATCAATGATAGACTGGATAAAGAAAATGTGTCACATATACACCGTGGAATACTATGCAGTTCCATAGTTCATGTCCTTTGCAGGGACATGGATGAAGCTGGAAACCATCATTCTCAGCAAACTAACACAAGAACAGAAAATCAAACACCGCATGTTCTCATTCATAAGTGGGAGTTGAACAATGAGAACACATGGACACAGGGAGGGAGCATCACACACCGGGGCCTGCCGGCGGGTGAGTGGCTAGGGGAGGGATAGCATTAGGAAAAATACCTAATGTAGGTGACGGGTTGATGGATGCAGCAAACCACCATGGCACGTGTATACCTATGTAACAAAACTGCACATTCTGCACATGTACCCCAGAACTTAAAGTATAATAATAAAAAAAAATTTTTTGCACGACCATCTGGAGAACTAGAGTTTCATTTTATTTTCTTTTACTGTTTAGTCCTTTTACTTTTAACACTTACCTGCATTTAATCTTCCTTGTAATTTCCTGATAATCTTAATACCTTTTATGGCTTTTTTTCTCAGACCTTATAGTTACTGTAGTTTGTTTTCTACTTCACAATTGTCCCTTGTTAGCCCACCCATGCATGTTAAGATGTTGCCCACTTATCTCTTCAATGTATACTCTCTGTAAAACCAGCTCAATCAATCATCATAGTATTTGCCAGAGGCAGGGAATTTTCTGTTATTGTGGTTTGGAAGTGTTTTCTTTTTTCCTTCAAAGGGAACAGCAACTTAGCAAGATAATTGATCTGTGGTAAGAAAACATACCCCATAAGTGCTCTATAAGGATTTTCCCAGACTCTTCAGCCCTCTAATCTTTAGGTTGTGAAAGTGAAGATTTTCTTTTTTCACCACCTTTGGATGTTAGGTCTCCTCTCCTTCTATCTGCATGTAGTTCGATTTCTTTAAATTTGTAATCTGAGAAGTTAAGTAACATATCTGTGACTCTCTGTCTCCCTTCCATGCTAATGATGGAAGACATGTTCGATCTCTCTCAAACTCGAGGATACATGTTTTTTATCAATTCAGGAAAATTGCTTTAGGTTAATTTCTTAGTTTTGTAATTGTTTAATTTTTTCACATCTCTTTTGGCACCACAATTATGCACAGGTTGGATTTGCATCTGTGACACTCCTTAGGTTTTATGTTCAGCTGGTTGTGTACAGTTGCCATCTATTCTAGTTGTAGCACCCATCTTGATTGGTTAGTACCCATTTCATCAGTTGAACGCATTTCTAAATATCTTCCTGGTATGATAACCTTTCACCAGTCTGTGAGCCAGTGCCAGTCCCAGATGAAGTTTGCACTTATCTTTGGCTAATTGAAAAAATTGGGATAATAAAATTAGTTTGTAATAAAGATAAGTGTCTTCGACTTACAAAACTCATCTTTATTCTGAGTCTCTATATCATCCCTAAATTTTTTATTACAAAGTATTCTTTGTCTTATGAAAAAATGATAATGGTAGTGTTTTTTTTTCTTTAACATTCTTACTTGGCTCAAAGAAAGATAACACTAAGTTAGTCTTCAAATTTTAAAAAAAGAGAAAAATTTGTAAAATATAAGAATCTGGAAACAGGAATCTTTGTCATTTCTTTCTAAGTTAATGTCTAGGCTGGCCTGTTAGTTTATGAATCCATCTGCATCATTTCTCTAGGAAAGATATTTGAAATTTAACTTTTGAGTTCTTAATTATTTTTGTCCTATTTGCTGTTTCTAGAATGTTTATGATATTTTGTTTTTAGCCAAACTGTTCAGTTCTTGTATACTTTCATAGTTGATGTTGTCTAAACCATGTTTCTCTGGTCACAAAGGCCAAGTAACATATTAAAAGTAATAAACAAAATCTACTAATAAACTAGATTTTTCTGGCTGTGGTCCTTACTTACCATAAGGTATTTCCCATTCTGCAAATTCTCTTTCAGTTGTTTCTGGAAGTCTCCAATGATCATCCCACATATGTGTTATGTCTCTTAGGTCCTCTAATTACACCTCTGTAGCCCACATTGCTAATGAATGTGCTTTGTTGTCATCAATGACACCAGTGCTCACTCTTGTGGATAGGATATCTGGACAGTGATGCTGTGTTCTCTTACTCCAATAGAAGAGGTCAGTAAATACTGGAAATATCGGAGCAATATTTTATTACCTGTAGATAATTTCTGTGTAGTTAGAAAATCTCAAAGAATTGGCAAGAGCTAACAGCATTAATTTTTTACTAAAGAAGATATATCACTTCCAAGACAAAAACAAATCATTAATATTTGAATGTATTAATAGTAAATACAGAGAGGAGGCAGAGCAAGATTGTGAAATAGAAAGCTCCAGTAGTCATGGCTCCCATCCTCTGCAATGACACCCAGTTAACAACTATCTACACCGAAGCAAAAATCAGGCGAGCATTCGTAGTACCTGCTTTTAACTTCTTATTGCGGAAAGGGGCACTGAAGTGATAGAAAAACAAAGCAGCCCTGAATCCCCACCCAACCCCGACACTGACTGCATGGCAGCTTGGTGCAGGGAGCATCTCTGGGTGCTGAGGGAGGGAGAATACAATTGTGAGGCACTGAACTCAATGCTATCCTGTTAGAGAAGAAAGCAAAACCAGACCAAACTCAACTGATACCCACCCACAGAGGGAGCATTTAAAACAGCCCTAGCCAGAGGGGAATTGCCAATCCCAGGGGTCAGAACTCGCATGCCTGCAATCCTAAACCTCAGCACCAAAGATTACAGCATTCTGTCTCCAAGTAAACTTGAAAGGCATTCTAGGTGAGTTTCTTAATCCTGAGTTCTAGTTTGATTGCACTGTGGTCTGAGAGACAGTTTGTTATAATTTCTGTTCTTTTACATTTGCTGAGGAGAGCTTTACTTCCAACTATGTGGTCAATTTTGGAATAGGTGTGGTGTGGTGCTGAAAAATATGTATATTCTGTTGATTTGGGGTGGAGAGTTCTGTAGATGTCTATTAGGTCCACTTGGTGCAGAGCTGAGTTCAATTCCTGAATATCCTTGTTAACCTTCTGTCTCGTTGATCTGTCTAATGTTGACAGTGGGGTGTTAAAGTCTCCCACTATTATTGTGTGGGAGTCTAAGTCTCTTTGTAGGTCACTCAGGACTTGCTTTATGAATCTGGGTGCTCCTGTATTGGGTGCATATATATTTAGGATAGTTAGCTCTTCTTGTTGAATTGATCCCTTTACCATTATGTAATGGCCTTCTTTGTCTCTTTTGATCTTTGTTGGTTTAAAGTCTGTTTTATCAGAGACTAGTATTGCAACCCCTGCCTTTTTTTGTTTTCCATTTGCTTGGTAGATCTTCCTCCATCCTTTTATTTTGAGCTTATGTGTGTCTCTGCACGTGAGATGGGTTTAAACCGCTCAACTACATGGAAACTGAATAACCTGCTCCTGAATGACTACTGGGTACATAACGAAATGAAGGCAGAAATAAAGATGTTCTTTGAAACCAACGAGAACAAAGACACAACATACCAGAATCTCTGGGACACATTCAAAGCAGTGTGTAGAGGGAAATTTATAGCACTAAATGCCCACAAGAGAAAGCAGGAAAGATCCAAAATTGACACCCTAACATCACAATTAAAAGAACTAGAAAAGCAAGAGCAAACACATTCAAAAGCTAGCAGAAGGCAAGAAATAACTAAAATCAGAGCATAACTGAAAGAAATAGAGACACAAAAAACCCTTCAAAAAATTAATGAATCCAGGAGCTGGTTTTTTGAAAGGATCAACAAAATTGATAGACCGCTAGCGAGACTAATAAAGAAGAAAAGAGAGAAGAATCAAATAGACGCAATAAAAAACGATAAAGGGGATATCACCACCGATCCCACAGAAATACAAACTACCATCAGAGAATACTACAAACACCTCTACACAAATAAACTAGAAAATCTAGAAGAAATGGATAAATTCTTTGACACATACACCCTCCCAAGACTAAACCAGGAAGAAGTTGAATCTCTGAATAGACCAATAACAGGCTCTGAAATTGTGGCAATAATCAATAGCTTACCAACCAAAAAGAGTCCAGGACCAGATGGATTCACAGCCGAATTCTACCAGAGGTACAAGGAGGAACTGGTACCATTCCTTCTGAAACTATTCCAATCAATAGAAAAAGAGGGAATCCTCCCTAATTCATTTTATGAGGCCAGCAACATCCTGATACCAAAGCTGGGCAGAGACACAAGCAAAAAAGAGAATTTTAGACCAATATCCTTGATGAACATTGATGCAAAAATCCTCAATAAAATACTGGCAAACCGAATCCAGCAGTACATCAGAAAGCTTATCCACCATGATCAAGGGGCTTCATCCCTGGGATGCAAGGTTGGTTCAATATACGCAAATCAATAAATGGAATCCAGCATATAAACAGAACCAAAGACAAAAACCACATGATTATCTCAATAGATGCAGAAAAAGCCTTTGACAAAATTCAACAACCCTTCATGCTAAAAACTCTCAATAAATTAGGTATTGATGGGACGTATCTCAAAATAATAAGAGCTATCTATGACAAACCCACAGCCAATATCATACTGAATGGGCAAAAACTGGAAGCATTCCCTTTGAAAACTGGCACAAGACAGGGATGCCCTCTCTCACCACTCCTATTCAACATAGTGTTGGAAGTTCTGGCCAGGGCAATTAGGCAGGAGAAGGAAATAAAGGGTATTCAATTAGGAAAAGAGGAAGTCAAATTGTCCCAGTTTGCAGATGACATGATTGTATATCTAGAAAACCCCATTGTCTCAGCCCGAAATCTCCTTAAGCTGATAAGAAACTTCAGCAAAGTCTCAGGATACAAAATCAATGTACAAAAATCACAAGCATTCTTATACACCAATAACAGACAAACAGAGAGCCAAATCATGAGTGAACTCCCATTCACAATTGCTTCAAAGAGAATAAAATACCTAGGAATCCACCTTACAAGGGACGTGAAGGACCTCTTCAAGGAGAACTACAAACCACTGCTCAAGGAAATAAAAGAGGATACAAACAAATGGAAGAACATTCCATGCTCATGGGTAGGAAGAATCAATATCGTGAAAATGGCCATACTGCCCAAGGTAATTTATAGATTCAATGCCATCCCCATCAAGCTACCAATGACTTTCTTCACAGAATTGGAAAAAACTACTTTAAAGTTCATATGGAACCAAAAAAGAGCCCGCATCGCCAAGTCAATCCTAAGCCAAAAGAACAAAGCTGGAGGCATCACGCTACCTGACTTCAAACTATACTACAAGGCTACAGTAACCAAAACAGCATGGTACTGGTACCAAAACAGAGATATAGATCAATGGAACAGAACAGAGCCCTCAGAAATAACGCCGCATATCTACAACTATCTGATCTTTGACAAAACTGACAAAAACAAGCAATGGGGAAAGGATTCCCTATTTAATAAATGGTGCTGGGAAAACTGGCTAGCCATATGTAGAAAGCTGAAACTGGATCCCTTCCTTACACCTTATACAAAAATTAATTCAAGATGGATGGAAGACTTAAATGTTAGACCTAAAACCATAAAAACCCTAGAAGAAAACCTAGGCATTACCATTTAGGACATAGGCATGGGCAAGGACTTCATGTCTAAAACACCAAAAGCAATGGTAACAAAAGCCAAAATTGACAAATGGGATCTAATTAAACTAAAGAGCTTCTGCACAGCAAAAGAAACTACCATCAGAGTGAACAGGCAACCCACAAAATGGGAGAAAATTTTCGCAACCTACTCATCTGACAAAGGGCTAATATCCAGAATCTACAATGAACTCCAACAAATTTACAAGAAAAAAACAAACAACCCCATCCAAAAGTGCACGAAGGACATGAACAGACACTTCTCAAAAGAAGACATTTATGCAGCCAAAAAACATGAAAAAATGCTCACCATCACTGGCCTTCAGAGAAATGCAACTCAAAACCACAATGAGATACCATCTCACACCAGTTAGAATGGCAGTCATTAAAAAGTCAGGAAACAACAGGTGCTGGAGAGGATGTGGAGAAATAGGAACACTTTTACACTGTTGGTGGGACTGTAAACTAGTTCAACCATTGTGGAAGTCAGTGTGGCGATTCCTCAGGGATCTAGAACTAGAAATACCTTTTGACCCAGCCATCCCATTACTGGGTATATACCCAAAGGACTATAAATCATGCTGCTGTAAAGACACATGCACATGTATGTTTATTGTGGCACTATTCACAATAGCAAAGACTTGGAACCAACCTAAATGTCCAACAATGATAGACTGGATTAAGAAAATGTGGCACATATACACCATGGAATACTATGCAGCCATGAAAAATGATGAGTTCATGTCCTTTGTAGGGACATGGATGAAATTGGAATCATCATTCTCAGTAAACTATTGCAAGAACAAAAAACCAAACACCGCATATTCTCACTCAGAGGTGGCAATTGAACAATGAGAACACATGGACACAGGAAGGGGAACATCACACTCTGGGGACTGTTGTGGGGTGGGGGAAGGGGGGAGGGATAGCATTAGGAGATATACCTAATGCTAAAGGACAATGGGTGCAGCACCCCAGCATGGCACATGTATACATATGTAACTAACCTGCACATTGTGCACATGTACCCTAAAACTTAAAGTATAATAATAATAAAATAAAAAAAAGAATGATACAATTGTAACAAAGCTGCACATTCTGCACATGTATCCCAGAACATAAAGTATAATAAATAAATTTTAAAAAGAAAAAAGAAAAAAAAAAGAAAGGCATTCTAGGCCATAAGGTCTGTAACCCTTAAGTGAGTCCTGGTGCTGAACTAGGCTCAGAGACAGTGGACTAGAGGGGTACACAACACCAGCTGGGGTGGCTGAGGGAGTACTGGCATCACCCCTTCCGTAATCCCAGAAGGCACAGCTCACAGGTCCAAAAGAGACCTTTTTCTTCTACTTGAAGAGAAGAGAGGGAAGAGTGGGGAGGACTTTGTCTTACATCTAAGATACCAACTCAGCCACAGCAGGATAGGGCAGTGTTCAGAATCGTGAGGCCCCTTTCCAGGCCCTAGCTCCTAGATGACATTTCTAGACACACCCTGGACCAGTAGACAAGCCACTTCCTTGAAGGAAATGACCCAGTCCTGGCAGCATTCAGTGACTAACTGAAGAGCCCTTGGGCCCTGAATAACCAGCAGTGATGCCCAGGTATTACAAGAGGGCCTTGGATAAGCCTCTGAGACTTGCTGGCTTCAGGTGAGACTCAGCACATTACCAGATATAAGGGATATGGGGCAAAACCCTTCTGCATGAGAAAAGCAGAGGGAAAAATAAAGGGTGATTTTGTCTTGCATCTTAGGTACCAGCTTGGCCATGGTTGAGTAGAGCACAAGCAGGCTCTTGGGGTCCGTGATTCTAGGACTTGACTCTTGGATGGCATTTCTGGACCTTCCCTGGGTCAGAGGGTAGCCCAATGCCTTGAAGGGTGAATCCCAGGCCAGGCACCATTTACGACTAGCTGACTTAAGAGGCTTTGGGCCTTATGGGAACACTGCCGGTAGTCTGGCAGTACTCCTTGTGGCCTGGGATGGCAATGGATATGGGGTCAGACTCCCCTGCCTTTGGAAAGAAGAGGGAATACTGGGAAGGACTACATATTGTGGTTTGAGTGCCAGCTCAGCCACAATGCAATAAAACACCAGGTAGACTTTAAAGGTTTTTGATTCTAGTTCCTGACTCCTGGACAGCACTCCTGGATACCTCTGGGGCTTGGGGGAGCTTGCCATCCTGAAGGGAAGGACGCAAGCCTGGCTGGCTTAGCCACCTGCTGATTATAGAGCCCCAGGGCCTTGAGTGAACATAGGCAGTGGCCAGGGAGTTGTTACAGCAGGCCTTGGGCAAGACCCAATGCTACATGGGCTTCAGGTCTGACCCAGCACTGTCATAGCGGTGGTGGCTACAGGGGTGCTTGTGTCTCTTCACCCCCAGCTTTAGGTGGCTCAGAAAAGAGAGAGAGAGAGAGAAAGATTCTATATGTTTGGAAGAAAGTAAGGAAAGGGAACAAGAGTCTCTGTCTGGTAATCCAGAGAATCCTCCTGGATCTTGTCCATGACCATCAAGGCAGTACCTCTACAAGTCTGCAAGAACCACAGTGTTACTGGGCTTGGGGTGCCCGATTACAACACCCAGGTCCTTTCAAATATCTGGAAAGCCTTCCCAAGAAAGACAACTACAAATAAGTCCAGACAGTAAAGACTACAATAAATACCTAACTGTTTGATGCCTAAACACTAAAGCACATCTACTAGCATCAACACCATCCAGAAAAACATGACCTTACCAAATGAACTAAGTAAGGCACCAGGGACTAATCTTGGAGAAACAGAGATATGTGATCTTTCAAAAACAGAATTCAAAATAGTGGTGTTGAGGAAACTAAAATAATAATAATAATAAAACTCAAGATAACACAGATAACACAGAGGAGGAACTCAGAATTCTATTAGATAAATTTAACAAATAGATTGAAATAATTAAAAAGAATCAAGCAGAAATTCTAGAACTGAAAAATGCAATTGGCATACTGAAGAATGCATTAGAGTCTCTTAATAGCAGAATGGATTATGCAGAAGAAAGTAAGCTTGAAGACAGTTTATTTGAAAATACATGGTCAGAGGAGACACAAGGAAAAATTCAAACAACAAAACACACCTACAGGATCTAGAAAATAACCTCTAAAGGGCAAATCTAAGAGTAATTGGCCCTAAAGAGGAGGCAGAGAAAGAGAGGTAGAAAGTTTATTCAAAGGGATAATAGAGAATTTACCAAATCTGGAGAAAGATGTCAATATTCAATTATAAGAAGATCATGGAACAGCAAGCAGATTTCTCCCAAAGAAGACTACCTCAAGGCATTTAATCATTAAACTCCAAAAGGTCAAAGATAAAGAAAGGATCCTAAAAGCAACAAGAGAAAAGAAACAGGTAACATACAATGGAGCTCCTATATGTCTGGCAGCAGACTTTTCAGTGGAAACCACACAGACCAGGAGAGAGTGGCATGACATATTTAAAGTCATGCCTAGAATAGTATATCCAGTGAAAATATCCTGCAAACATGAAGGAAAATAAAGACTTTCCCAGACAAACAAAAGATGAGGGATTCCATCAGTACCAGACCTGTCCTACAAGAAATACTACAGGGGGTATTTCAGTCAGAAAGAAAAGGACATTAATGAGCAATAAAAGAATGACCTGAAGGTACAAAACTCACTGGTAATAGTAAGTACGCAGAAAAACAAAGAATATTATAACACTGTAACTGCAGTGTATAAACTACTCTTATCCTAAGTAGAAAGACTTAACTATGAAGCAATCAAAAATGATAACTACAACAACATTTCAAGACATAGTTAGTACAATAGGATATAAATAGAAACAATAAAAAGTTAAAATGCCAGGGGATGGAGTTAAGGCATAGAGTTTGTATTAGTTTTCTTTTTGTTTGTTTGTTTATGCAAATAGTGTTTTTATCAGGTTGAAATAAGTCATTATAAGATAGTATTTGCAAGCCTCATGGGAACCTCAAGCCAAAAAACACAATGGATACACAAAAAATAAAAAGCAAGACGCTAATTCATATTACCGGAGACTGTCACCTTTACCAGAGGAGGATAGGAAGGAAAGAAAGAAGGAAGACAAGACCATAAAACAACCAGAAAACAAACCATTACATGAAAGACACAGAAAGGCAGACATTACATGTTCTCACTTATTTGTGGGATCTAAAAATCAAAACAATTGAACTCATAGACATAGAGAGTAGAAAGATGGTTACCAGAGGCTGAGAAGTATAGTGGGGGACTGTGGGGGAGGTGGGGATGGTTAATGGCTACAAAGAAAAAAAAAGAAGAGAGAGAATGAGTAAGACCTACTACTTGATAGAACAACAGGGTGACTATAGTCCATAATAACTTAATTGTACATTTTTAAAGAACTTAGAGATTGTAATTGGATTGTTTGTAACACAATGGGTAAGTGTTTGAGGGGATGGATAAAATAATAATAATTAGAAATAAAGGGTCTGAACAGGAAAGGTCCTCCCTCAATATAACAAACACACAAGGCATTGGGATAAAATAACCCACAGTTTCATGAAAATAATAAAACCTGATAAATATAAATAAAAGTTTTGAGCAGATATAGCAAAGTACATTAATAGATGGGAGAATGACCATCTGCTAATTTTGACTGGAGTTCTAGGATCTAGAGCTGGAAAGAGGAAACAGGAAAGGCTAGCAAACAGTTCAATATAATAGAATCAGAGTAATAGGGAAAAAATAACACCTAACAGAGAACACAAGCTGGCAACCAGGGAAATTATCAAAAGAATGTGACCAATAATAATAATAAAGCAGTAAAGAAAAGAGAACAAAGTTCAAAGCCAAAGTTCTACTTTGAAGAGAATTCAAGCAAGCAAGGGAAGGGAGAGGAGGAGGGCAGGCGTGCATGGTGGGGTGGGTAGAACCTGGAGTTTCCTATGAATGCTGATTCAAATCCTCTTTTATATGCAGTTGGCAGTTACATCCACAGGTGTTACAGATGCCAAACTATTCAATAATAATTTTCCAATAGCTAATTTAGAAGTCACATACAATGCTGATTAACACTCCAACAAGATTTTAATCTTAGAAAGCAGCAAAATGCTTCGCAATTTCATATGAATAATGAAGATGTCACATAATCACAGAACTTACAAAGCAGCTGTGCAGGGGTCTGTCCTACCAGTGTTATAACATGGGCAGTGCTAAAATGCTGGGCTACTGAGTCTACTATAGAATAAAGAGATCACTGGAACAGAATAGAACTCTAAATGCTATATTATAAAGTAATCAGTATCACAAAAGAATTCTAAAGGCAAAACCATTCATTAAATAGCAACTTGATACCTGGATGATAATTCAAAAAAAAACAGTAATTTAAATCCAACACATGCTAAATTTAGATGTCATAAAAATGAATTTCAAAAGAATAAGTGAGTAAAAATTTAATGAAATAAAATAATAGACTACCCAGATGAAAATCATTCAGGTATTAGCATGTACAGTATCCTTTTCAAAATTTAAGTCATAAAATACAACAAGCTCAAGATACCACTTCTTATGTGGACCTTTCTGTGACTGCTCTGCCTCTGATTCTGCTCTTCCCCCTTTATGTGGTTCTTAACTGCATGCTTACTTCTCTGGACTTCTTAAAGAATTCATATAAAACACCAAATATATGTAACAATAAATATAAATATTTAAAATCAGCTGTATAGTGTTTCTATTTGTGAGGAAAACTATAAATGTGTGTGTGTGTGTGTACACCTGCCTTTATATGCATGGGAGAAAAAGGATCATACCTGAGAAATTACAATTATGTTCTTCTCTGGAGAGTGGTGTTACTCTAGAACAGTGATCCTCAATTTGTTTTTAACTCCTTTAGACCCTTAAAAATTATTGAGGACCCCAAGGAGCTTTGTTTATGTGAGTTATATCTATAGAGGTTTACTATATCAGATTTTAAAACTGAGTAACAGTACCTAACAGTCTTTAAAAAAGACTTATCTATGGTGTTTTAAAATTATTGTTATTCATTGACACAATAATAATAATATGTACATTTTTATATGGTACAGTGTGATATTTTGATATATGTATACCATGTGTAATGATCAGATAAGGGTAATTCACATATCCAGAACCTCAGATATTTCACATTTTTCTGTGGTGAGAACATTGAAAATCTGCTCTTCTAGCTATTTAAAAATACACAGTAAATTTTTTTTAGTATAGTCACCCTATAATGCTGTAGAACACTAGAACTTATTCCTCCTATCAAGCTATATTTTGGATTTGTTAACAACCCTCTGGCTATTATCCCATTCCCAGCATCTAGTAACCGCTATTCTACCCTCTACTTTTATGAGATCATCTTTTTTTAGCTTTCACATATGAGTGAAAACATGCCGTATTTATCTTTCTGTGCCTAGCTTATTTCACTTAACATAATGTCCTTTAAGCTTACTTATGTTGCCACAAATGACACAATTTCATTCTTTTCGTGGCTAATTAGTATTTCATTATGTATATATTCCACATTTCTTTTGTCCATTCATCTGTTGATGGACACTTAGGTTGATTCCATATCGTGGCTATTGTGAACTGTGCTGTGATAAACCTGAGAGTGTAGATATCTCTTCAATACACTGATTTCCTTTCCTTTGAATATATACCCAGTAGTGGGACTGTTGGATCCTATGGTAGTTCTGTTTTTAGTTTTTTGATGAACTGCCATACTGTTTTCCAAAATGCCTGTACTAATTATAGTCCCACCAACAGTGTATAAGTGTACAATTTCATTTAAAATTGCAGCAATAAATCCATTACATGTTAACATAAATAACATCTTTATGTAGTAAAATAACCATATTTTTCAAAAAAAAATTGTGAGAGGAGTTTTACATTCTCTTTAATGTGTGGATAACTAAAAATAACTGGATTTTTATATCTGCTTCTAAATACAATCTCTTGTACTCCACTTTACGCTACTAAGGGAATTAGAGTAAAAGTGGAAACTAAAGTTTTGGTGTTATTATGAAAATCGTTTTGACCCAGGCTCCTTGGACAACACTTTGAGAACTGCTGCTCTAGAAAGTAAGAGGGGGATTTTTGTTTTCACCACAGATGGTTTGTGTTTTAGAGTTCTCTAAGCCTTCTCTGTTAAATAGGGAAAATAATTTTGCTTTATAGAATCTTTGTGAGGAATGTGTATAATGTGCTTAGAAGAGAAATAATCACATTTAGGCAAGTGATAAATGATAGATGCTATTATAACACTCATTTATTATGATGGTTAAATTCAAAGACTGGATGAAAACACCTCTGAAAGTAAATGTAGTGTCCTTTTCACTGAGGCCGCAGTGTAGCTTAGAGGCTATAGACAAGGGTGCAATGGCCTAATATGCCCTTGTGGAAAACTATGGGTTTTGAGGGCAGGCAAAGTTCTGTTTGCCAGAGTGGGCGGCTAGAGTTGCAGAGAGAAATACCGAAGCCAGCCTTGGCCACTGACAGGCCTTGGGCACTGGTATTTTCAACAAAATGAAAGAAAATGGCTGCTCAGACCTTGAAGGAGAAGGGAGACCAGGGAAAATGTGAGTAGTGAAATGTAGTCAGTGCAACCAAATAATTGACTCAGGGCCTGGCCTATGATGAGCCCACAAGGGTTACACTCTGGGAAGAGCACAAAATGGGTGTTGAAGCCGGTAGCCTGAGATGTAAAGTTCGATATGATGATTTTGAAAAAGTGGAACAGGCAGGTCAGTGTACAGGTATATATTGGCCTTAGTCTTAATTAGCCATGGCAGGTGCAATGGTGTTCTCCCAAAATTTTATTTGTTTCCCTACAATCTCAATCCTCTTATGATTAAGTGGAGCCAACGTGAATGGTTTTGAACAATGGTTATAAAAAAGGATTAAAAATTTTACTTATTTTTAAATGTTAATTTAATTTTTTTTTTTTTTTTTTTTTTTTTTGAGACGGAGTCTCGCTCTGTCGCCCAGGCTGGAGTGCAGTGGCGCGATCTCGGCTCACTGCAAGCTCCGCCTCCCGGGTTCACGCCATTCTCCTGCCTCAGCCTCCCGAGTAGCTGGGACTACAGGCGCCCGCCACCACGCCCGGCTAATTTTTTGTATTTTTAGTAGAGACGGGGTTTCACCGTGTTAGCCAGGATGGTCTCGATCTCCTGACCTCGTGATCCGCCCGCCTCGGCCTCCCAAAGTGCTGGGATTACAGGCGTGAGCCACCGCGCCCGGCCGTTAATTTAATTTTTAAATTAATTTTTTCAACTTTTATTTTAGCTTGAAGAGGTACATGTGCAGTGCAGGTTTGTTACATGGGTACATTGCATGATGCTGAGGTTTGGCGTATGGATGATTCCATCACCTAGGTACTGAGCAGAATACCCAATAGTTTTTCAACTCCTGTCCATCTCTAGTAGTCCCTCGTATCTATTGTTACCATCTCCATCTTTATGCCCATAAGTACCCAATGTTTAGCTACCACTATTGAGAACTTGTGGTATTTGATTTTCTGTTCCTGCATTAATTCACTTATGATAATGGCCTCCAGCTGCAACCATATTGCTGCAAAGTACATGATTTCATTCTTTCTTATGGCTATGTAGTATTCCACGGTGTATATATGTATCACATTTGAATAAAGAACTTTAATATATACCTTGTGAAATGATGGCTAAAAGCCCTGAGGGATAGTTATTTGGTAAGAGTAAAAAAGCAATCGAATGGATAGGCCAGGCACGGTGGCTCACGCCTGTAATCCCAGCACTTTGGGAGGCTGAGGCAGGTGGATTACCTGAGATCAGGAGTTCAAGACCAGCCTGGCCAACATGGTAAAACCCCATACTAAAAATACAAAAAAATATTAGCTGGGCATGGTGGCAGGTGCCTGTAATCCCAGCGACTCGGGAGGCTGAGGCAGGAGAATCACTTGAACCTGAGAAGTGGAGGTTGCAGTGAGCTGCGATGGCGCCATTGCCCTCCAGCCTGTGTAACAAGAGTAAAACTCTGTCTCAAAACCAAACCAAACAAAACAAACAAACAAACAAAAACAATCTAATGGATAGAGTGAAAGATCATAAATATGTGAAGAGATAAAAGTAACGTTTTCAGAATCAAATAAATATACAGGTCCTCAGACTGAAAGTGCACTCCTAGAACCAAACAGAGTACTGATAATCCTCTACATCTAGACATTTCAGAGTAAATCTGCAGAACATCAAGGATGAAGATAAAAATCTTTAATATTGTTAAAGAGATAGCCAAAAATACAGACTACATATGAAGAAACAACAATTTTCTTGAAGCAGACTTCTCAGTAACAACAGATGTCAGAAGATAAAGGAATAATATTGAATAATAAACTACTGATTAAGACTAATGGCAAAATAGGAATGGTTTCATCTTTTCTTTAGTAGAACAAAAGGTTAGAGGGAAAGAATAAGAAACAAATAATTTTAAGTGCATTGTCAGAGTCTGCACTCCTGGATCCTAAAGGCATAAAATGCCAGGACACCAGGAGCATAGCTAAGCTACCAAGGGTTCTATAACCAAATCTTCCATATCCCCAGTATCACAGTGAGGCAGTAAACTAATAATTATAGGACCAGGAATAGACCAGGGGATTAGGGGCATGCATTTGCAAAACCACTAAATATGAAGAGGTAAGCATGTAGGAAAAAAAGAAAATAAAAACAAGAAAAACATCCTTATCAATCAAATAGAGCTTGTAAACCAAAATTCAAAAAACATGAAGAGACTTAATGTTAAGAAAACAGCCCACAAAAACAAGTAAATTAATTCATTACACATGATATGTTTCTACAGTAGACGGTTATAAAATCAGTGTATTTAATGTATTCAGAGGTAAATGAAGACAAATTTTCATTATAAAAATAAATTATATAGCAAATAAACAGTGATGAAAACAGGCAAAGATTTTATAAGAACAATTAAAGTATCATGGGAATGCAGAGTATGCTGACTAAGAAGCTACTACAACAATAACATAAACTCCACACTGACCACAGATGATGAAAGAATTGAATTATTTGGAAGAAATAAATTTGATGCTCACCCAAAACTCAGCTCAGAAAGATAGAGAGATTTAAAAGTATATTTATATAGGCCAGGCATGGTGGCTCATGCCTGTAATCCCAGCACTTTGGGAGGCTGAGGCGGGCAGATCACCTGAGGTCAGAAGTTCGAGACCAGCCTGGACAACATGGTGAAACTCCATCTCTACTAAAAATACAGAAATTAGCAGGGCGTGGTAGTGCATGCCTGTAGTCCCAGCTACTCGGGAGGCTGATGCAGGAAAATTGCTTAAATCTGGGAGGTAGAGGTTGCAGTGAGCAGTTGAAGATTGTGCCATTGCTCTCCAGCCTGAGCGATAGAGTTAGACCATCTCAAAAAAAAAAAAAAAAAAAAAAAAAAAGAAAGAAAAAAAATTTAACCATTTCTAATCAACCTTGTGCTCAAGGATCTAGCCAGAGCAATTTGGCAAGAAAAAGAAGTAAAAGCCATGCAGATTGAAAAGGAAATAAAACTATCTCTATTCACAGATGGTATGATCTGGTATATAAAAATTCCTGAAGAACTCACACACATAGAAAACTATTAGCGCTAATAAACAAGTTGAGCAAGGTTGTAAGATACAATATACAAAAATTTATATTTCTATAAACTAGTAATAAACAATCTGATTTCATTTATAATAGCATCAAAAAAGAAAAAATACTTAGGAATAAAATATAACAAACCAAGTGTAAGACTTTTACACTGAAAACTATGTAACATAAGATTGTGTGCCACTGGTGTACAATAAAAATGTAAATTAATAGAATAGAATTGAAAGTACAGATATAAAACCATATATCTATAGTCAATTTATTTTCAAGAAGGGTATCAAAACCATTCAATGGGGAAAAATAGTATTTTCAACAAAGGCGCTTAGACAACTGGATAGACACTGCAACAGGATGAATCTGGATCCCTGCCTCATACCATATACAAAAAAAAAAAAAAAAGAGAGAGAAAAAATCCTCAAAATCAATTAAAGACCTACATGTAAGCACTAAATTGGTAAAACACTTAGAAGAAAACAGCAGTAAATTTTTGGTACCTTGAATTAGACAGTGTTTTCTTAGGACACCAAATGCACAAGCAATCAAAACCAAAATAGACAAATTGAAATTAAAAACTTTTTATGTTTCAAAGGACAATATGAAAAAGTGAAATGACAGCCCACAAAGTGGGAGACAATAATTGCAAATCATATGTATGATAAGAGCCTATTATCTGGGTAATATACAAATGAATGAGAATAAAACTTATATTGGATTTTTCATCAGCATCATTGAATATAAGACAGAAGCATTTAATTTGATATAAGAACAAAAGAAATTGTGTATGTTTTCATAAAGAGAAAAATTCACTCTAAATTAATCAGTGAATTGAATGCAATTTCATTAAAAATAACTGAAGAGTACTTTTACACAACTTACTAAGCTAATTCTAAAATCCTTATGGAGAAATTAAGGGCCCCAAATAGACAAACCATGTTGCAAAAAATGACTAGGGCAAATATGTGACTTATTATCACAGTGAGATTACTTTTTGTCCAAAAAACTTTTATGCAGAAAGAAGAATAAACACTATTATTTATAACTAGTTTATTTTCCAATTTATTAATCATATGAATCTAGAATTTATTTAAATATTAATAACATTTCATTGAATACTTACAGAGCATGTACACAAACTAATAAATTTATGCACTAAACGGATTAAATTTCTTAAAACATTTAAATGTTGATTGCAAACTTAATCAAACACTTCTTAACCTTTAATTGGGATCTTTTGAATAAATCGGGGCTTCTTAAATCTCCTAAAATTTCAAAAATTCATCAAAATACACATGCAGTATAATTATTAGAAAGCTAATCAGATACCCACCAGAAAAGCTAAGTGTAAAGTGTTTGTGCTAGGATTTTAAAATTATTTCTTTTTGATTGTATATATTTAAAGTGTCCAATGTGATGTTTCCATATACCTATATGTAGTGAAATGATTACTCCAGTCAATCAAACTGAACATATCCATGGTCTCATTTAGTTACCTTTTTTAGTATGGTAAGGACACTTAAAATCTACTCTCTAGCAAATTTTCAGTGTACTAATAACAAATTATTAACTATAGTCCTCATGCTGTACATTAGATCTCTAGATTTAATCATTCTATGCAACTGTAACTTTGTACCTTTTGACCTACATCTCCTGTTCCCTGCCCCCATCCCCACACCCTGGCAACTCCTCCTCTATTCTGTTGCTATGTATACAATTTTTTTTAAGATTCCACATTTTGTTTCTGTGTCTGGCTTATTGTACTTACCATAATGTCCTCCAGGTTCATCCATGTTGTTGCAAATGGAGGATTTCCTTCTTTTTAAAGGCTGAATAATATTCCATTGTACTCTACATTTTTTTTTTTAATTGAGAAGCAGTCTCCCTCTGTTGCCCAGGCTGGAGTGCAGTGGTGCGATCTCGGCTCACCACAACCTCTGTCGCCTGGGTTCAAGAGAATCTCCTGCCTCACTCTCCCGAGTAGCTGGGACTACAGGTGCACACCACCACGCCCGGTTAATTTTTGTATTTTTTTTTTCAGTTGAAATGAGGTTTCATCATGTTGTCCAGGCTGGTCTCAAACTCCTGACCTCCAGTGATCTGCCCACCTCGGCCTCCCAAAGTGCTGGGATTACAAGCGTGAGCCACTGTGCCCGGCCTAGTCTACATTTTCTTTATCCTTTCCTCTGTTGTGGATATTTAGGTTGCTTCCATGTCCTGGCTATTGTAAATAATGCTGCAATGAACATGGGAGTGCAGATATCGCTATAATGTGCTGATTTCATTTTGGGGGAGTTTATGGCCAGAGGAGGGATTGCTGGGTCATATGGTAGGTCTATCTTTAAGTTTTGGAGGAATGCACATACTGTTTTCTATTATGGCTGCACCAGTCTACTTTTCTACCAATAGTACAAGAGTTCCCATTTCTCCACATCCTCACTAACACTTGTTATTTCATATCTTTTTGATAATAGCCATTGCAGCAGGTGTAGGATGATATCTCATTGTGATTTTGACTTGCATTTCTTACTATTATTTTACACTTTAAAATTATTTTGTTTTTATGTTGACTTTTTACGGCAGTTGCCTTCAAGATGAGGTTCAGTAATATTATTACTTTCCTACATTCCTTTTTTTTTTCAATTTTTCAGACCCCAAAGAAAAGAGGTACCATATGAGAATATCTGAGATTACTGGACTTGGATATGGGCTAACAACAGATGCTGATGAGGCTGTGGAAAAATAGGAACACGTTTACAGTGTTGATGGGAGTGTAAATTTGTTCAACCATTGTGGGGGACAGTGTGGCGATTCCTCAAGGATCTAGAACTAGAAATACCATTTGACCCAGCAATCCCATTACTGGGTATATACCCAAAGGATTATAGATCATTCTACTATAAAGACACATGTACACATATGTTTATTGCAGCACTATTTACAATAGCAAAGACTTGGAACCAACCCAAATGCTCATCAATGACAGAATGGATAAAGAAAATGTGGCACATATACATCATGGAATACTGTGCAGCCATAAAATAGAATAAGTGCATGCCATTTGCAGGGACATGGGTGAAGCTGGAAGCCATCATTCTCAGCAAACTAACACAGGAACAGAAAACTCAACACTGCATGTTCTCACTCATAAGTGGGAGTTGAACACATGGACACAGGGAGGGGAACATCACACACTGGGGCCTGTCAGGGGGTCGAGGGCAAGGGGAGGGAGAGCATTAGGACAAATAACTAACGCATGTGAGGCTTAAAACCTAGGTGACAAGTTGATAGGTGCAGCCATCCACCATGGCACATGTATACCCATGTAACAAACCTGTACATTCTGCACATGTATCCCAGAACTTAAAGTAAAAAAAAATTACATACTCAGCAGCAGTCTAAATGGACCATGTTGTTTATTGCCAAAGAATATTTGATATTTATTTATTAAGAAATTCCCTAGCTCTTTTGAGAACCCTTACATATAATTTTTATGTATGTGTATTTTTGTATGGTTAGAAATATTGATTTGAATTTTAGAAGTTGATTACTAAATCAATATACTTATTTGCTTTGGTTTCCTAAAAAAAATTCCAATTCTATACACTGTAAAACTGTGAACTCTCATTAAATGTAAAGCTTTCCTCATTCCCAAGTTGAGCTTTGTTTCAGATGTGGAAGTCTGCGTTGCTGTAGGGGCATGTTTGGTTCCTCTCTTCCTTCTCTCCTTCTCCTCTGGATTATGAAATAATATTTGTGGCCTTTCCAGAGAGTATTGAGGAGAAAGAGAGGAGTGGGAACAGATAAAGCTTAAAACTCTTAACTTGACCAGCAAAGTTACAGTTGATGTGAGTGCTTAGAGATGTAGCAGGTGTCTGAAGCTGAGACTTGCTCTCATGGGACTTTTCAGACACCACTCCTCCCACCCTTGGGAAAAAGTCTGACTGGGGTTTTCTTATTGCAGTCCCTGCTGGGCTACCTGCTTTTGTCTTCTGCTGTCAGCAACTAGGCCTTTCGCAGTCACGTTTATTTATTTTTTATAAATTAGAACTGCATGAAATAAAATTTATTGAGTTATTATATTTGTAAGGCACAAACCTGTGGCAGAATCACAAATAATGAATACAGCTATGTAAGAAGTTGTCTTTTTAACTTCCCAATCTATCAGATTTCATCTTAGTGAATCTGATGGATCTTGTCATCTGGTAGAATCAAGTAATATGACACACAATTGCAACCATCATGTGAAATGGCCTAAAGAAACATGTGTTCGCATGATTAAACTCCTACAAGTATTCCTCAATGAGTCAATGTCATCAGGATAAAAAATAATCTTTTTATACAACTAAGTAGCTCAACACAGCACAAAACTAATTTAAAAATAATTTAAATTGACTTTGTGTGTGTCTTAATTTCAGAATGATTAGGTATAATTTTTTTTAGAATAGTTGATCATTCAAAAACTCAATTATAAATGGGAAGGAAGTATCCTAGGAGGAGCCAAACAATGTAATTTGACAGAAAGAAAGCAGGCAGAAACTTCATAATTTCAGAACCGTAAACTATAATTAATAAAAAATAAATTTGAAAACCATACTAAAGGAAAGACTGTGCTATCTCCTCTATCAAAAATGATAGTAAAAAAGTCATTATCATCTGAAGAAACAATCAAAAAGCATTCAGGAAAAACGTGTAAAAAATAATTAAAGATGGATGTCAGGCTGATAATAAAAAGATTGCAAAAAAATAAATACCATATGTTTTCACTTATAAGTGGGAGCTAAGAATTGAGCACATATGGACATAAATATGGGAACAACAGACACTGTGAACTACTGGAGGAGGGGGAGAGAGGTGGGTTAAAAAACTACCTATCAGGCACTATACTTACCACCAGGGTGGTGGGATCTGTATTCCAAACCTCAGCATCACACAATACTCCCAAGTAACAAATATTCACATGTAGCCCTGTATCTAAAATAAAAGTTCAAGTTTTTAAAAAAAGATTGTATTATTCTTTTGAGAATCGTAATATTTGTGGATATTGTCAGCTTTGTAAACTTTGTAATATGTGATTTATTTTCTCATTCTAAATAAATACTGATTTTAATAAAAACTTTTGAATTTTAACTTTGTATCATTTTTCTTAAAGAGGGGCTCATATGTTGACTAGATTAAGAGCTCAAAAATCTAGGACCCACTACTCTTTTGCACAAAGTTCAAAGACACAATCTGGGAGAAAATATTACCACATAGGCAACCGACAAAAGTAATATAGAGAGCATATAAATATATCTTTATATCTTCCAAGATATAAAAGTCTAGAAAATCTGTATTATCAGGGCCATGAGAGGGTTATAATAATTAAGGCTTTTTTCTTGTATGATATATAAGTAATTAAAACAGAAAAATATCATATTTCAGGGTATTTTCATGGATGCTAAATTACTTGTACACACCATCAAAAAGTTAGCTGAATGTGTTTTTAGATAATGCAGTCTACATGAAAATAGTGACAGATTTATTCTTGGCCTTTTAGTTCTATATGAGAACCCAGAAAAACAAACATATTGCACCATTAGGCATCAAAGTGAAAAAATAGTGGTGAATGATTGATAATCCATAGTATAGTTTACCAAGTGAAAAGTACTGACATGTTAGTGCAAAAACTCTTCTTAAAAATAAAACTAGGTTAGAATCACCAAAAATGAAATCATTGCAATGTCTAAATCTTTAAAATTCCAAGCAGAAAAATGGGTGTTGACTCAGATGTGTAATAACATCAGCAGGTTTTCTCCATCATGTCCTGTGTCAAGGCAGATGTGCCCTCCAGCAAGTGCTAAGCCACAGACCTATAGCTATCCCCTGAGGGCTAATGGTAATGCTTCCAACTTGCTACTAAAAGCCTGAAATAAGCATCATCTAGTGAATACTGCTAAACTCAGTTTATTTGTTGCTAAAAAAAATCTGAGAGGTGACAGATAATATGTTTGTCATTTGCCTTTTGATTCTCTTTTTCAAATCCAGACAAAACGCCAACACCTAATTGTCAGCATTCAAGAGAACCTGAAAGTTATCAAGTGCAATATCCCATTAGTGTTTAAATCCTCCCTATGAAATGCCCACCAGGTGTTCATCAAGCTGATTGTACACCAGCATGGCAGAGATCCAGGCCTATGGTGCAGAGCAGAAGTAGTACAATAAATCAGTAGGGAGAAGATTACTTTTTATGGGAGAAGATTATTTTTATATACATCATCCATTTATTGCTATAGCTGACTTCCATGTGATAAAGGAGGAAGAGTCTTACCTTATACAAAAGATTCAAAAATAAATTACATATGGATTAAAAACAATATAAAAAATTACTCTTGGAAGAAAATCTAGAAGAATAGCTTTATGATCATGGAATAAGAAAAGATTCTTAAAGTTTATACCATTTTTTAAACGAAGAGTTATGGAGTACTTTCTATATGCCTGGCACTATTCGATTTGTTTTATAAATACTAGCTCAGTAAATCTTCATTAAAAGAACAATATAATACTATTCCTCATTAATAGGCTCTTCACTAAAAGAAGAATAGAGTACTGAAATTTGAGTATTCTTATTAACTTTATTTTAAAGATGAGTGGTGGAGCTAGAATACAAACTCAGGTAATCTAACTTTAAAGTGTATTCTCTTAACTGCACTCTGCTACCTCAAAAAGCATAACCCTTAAAAGAAAATATTGATAAACTTGACTACATAAATGTAAAATTGATGTCAAAAAAAAAAAAAAAAAAGAGACAAGCTTTGAACTGGAAAGAAGATATCTGAGACACACATCTGAGAAAGGATGTATAGCAATACAGGAAGCACAACTGTGAGCTCCCAGAGAGCAGAACTCCCATGGGCTGGAGAAGGAGAGTCTAGGCCTGAGGGGAGTCTAGGCAGTGCACCACAGTGTCTACTCCAGTGGCCTTCCAGCTGCTTCTCCAACAGAGATCATTCTACTTGAAGGTGTTTCTAGCTGCTACTCATGTGCCTGTCACACCCTTCCTCCAGGGCTTTTGCATGGTAGGCTTCTTTGTATCATTCTTGTTTCTGTCTAAACATCCTTTTCTTGAAAATATCTTCCCTGGCCAAACCCTCTAAAATAGTACTCCATACCTCTCCAACCTTTCGCATATGACCGGTTTTCCCATTAAATTTTTACAATTAAGATTTATTTCAAATCTTAATTTTAAAGGTAATGGTATAACAAAAATTTAACTAATGCTATCAGTTTGCCATATTTATGCCTGATCATACTCTTTGAATAAAGTAAAACATTACAGATGCCTCTAAAGCATCCTGAGTACAACTACCGCCAGTGCCACCTCCTTCCCTCCTTCCCTCCCCAGGGGAACTGCCATCCTGGAATTGCCATGTATCTACGCGACAGGCTGCTACTTCCAAAGCCATCTCTACTTCTTCCTTGTAAACAGAAGGCAGTTTCATTGGGGATAGTGATGTGCCCAACCATATGACATTTCCCCGACTTCCTTGCAGATAGAATTAACTATGTAATTCTGTTCTAGTCAGTGAAATGTAAGTAGACTTTGCTGAGTGAAACTCCTAAGAAAACTAAAGGTTGCCAGTTTCCATTAGAACACAACTTTTTGTCCTTTACCCTTGTCCTTCTTCCTGTCTGGGATGTCCAGATCTGGAGCAATCGTCTTGTCCCATGAGTTACTGTGGCTGAGTAAATAGATAGAAAGAGCACAAGAGTTGGGACCTTGATGTCCTTGAGGAGACACTCAACCAACCTGGGACTTCCTATGGCAAGAGAAAAGTAAACTCTGAATAAGTTTAAGCCACATTTTTTTGGTGTGTTTTAGATCCTTCATGAGTATAGGATCCTTCCTTTTCCATATATGTTTGTATCCATCAGACATATCATATTTTTTGAACATTTTAACATTGTATACTAATGAGATCTACTTATTTAGCAACTTGCTTTATTTTTATTCGATTTGATTATTTGAAAATTAAACTGAATTAATACATGCAGATCTAGATTATTCATTGAAAGCCCATTGTTTGAAAATGTTAGTTTGGTTGTTGATTTCATACATTCTCCTGTTAATAGACATTTAGATTACTTATTATGTTTTGTTTTACAGTTCTGCAATAAATATCTGACATATGTTTTCTTGTGCACATGTGCTAGAGTTTCTCCAGGATAAATACCTTAAAATGGTAGAGGGTAAACTTCTTCAACTTAGTGATATGGAACCAAGTGACACTCCAAAGTGGCCATGACAATTTATACTCCCACGAGGAGGACACAAGTTTTTTGTTCTGTCTACATTAAAGCTTGGTATTATCAATTATAAGTTTTGACAATCAGATGGGTGTGAAATTTAAATTTTTTATTTGCATTTCCCTGATTATTCTGAGGTTGAGCATCTTTAAAATGTGTATTAACCATTCAACTTTCTTCTACAAATTATTTTTACCCATTAAATATAAATTATTTAAGTATTTATGGATTGCTAATATCTCCTCCAAATATGTGGTCTTTTACCTTTGTTAATGGTTTCTTTTGTCTCAAATATGTTTTTTATTTTAATGTGTCATTTTTAATTACCTTTGAGTTTTTAATTTTGTATCATGTTCAATAAAGCTTTTCTCTCCCTGATATTAAGATATTAATTATTAAGTAATTAATTATTAGTTTCATATAAGTGGAAAGATACGTCCTTGTTTGAACATATGGAAATCTACATACATCCAAATTTAAACCAAATGTCAATGTTAATAACAACACTAGAACATTCTCATTAAAATTAGGAGTAAGACATGCATGTCAGTTGTGACTCTTGTTATTTTCTATTGTACATTAACATGATACAATTGCTAGTGTTATTGTACAAGATAGTGAAATAAGATATATGTAAATATATACCTAGAAAATCCAAGAAAACCAACAAAACTTAATAAAACTAATAAATAATGAAAAAAGAGTGAGATGACTGGTTATAAAATTAATGTACTCAAATCAATATATCTTACATGTACCAATAAGAACCAATTGGAAAATATAATAGAAATGGCATAGTTTACTATAACAACTGGAAAATATCCAGTTATTTGTAACATGAATAATGAACTTTATAAAATTATAAAACATTACCAAACATTGTAAATAAATAGGCCTGTATTGTTTTAGGATAGAAAGACTTCAAACCATAAATATATCAATATTCTATGTGTGTTTATATATTCAATGCAGTTCCATTGAATATATGGAATTTCTTTTCAACTTTACAAAACAATTCTAAAAACATACAAGTGAAAATATCAAAAATGCTGAGAAAAAAGGCAGGAGATTGGCTTGCCCTAGCAGATAGTAAAATGCCTTATGAAGTGAAATCAGTTTTTTTATATATATATAAAATGGGTGTAAATAAAGAACAATAGAAAGAATACAACTCTGGACTTAGAACTAAATGTATATAGGGGGTTTGTGTCTCATAAATATAGTGTTTTAAGTTGGTACGAAAAACAAAGATTAGTAAATGAAATTAAGACAATTAGCTAGCCATTTGAAAAAAAGTAGATCCAGATTTCTCCCTCACTTACTATACTGAAATAAATTATTGCTGAAACCATAAAATACTAACACATTAATGAATATTTTTATAGTCTTCGGTTGGGGAAGACCTTTCTAAGTTTGTCTCAGGCATCAAAAATTTAATAGGAAAGACTGGTAAAATCGACCACTTAAAAAAATGAAACTTCTGTGTAAAAATAAACACAATAAAAGGTTGAAAGGTAGAAGGCTAATTGGAAAATTATTTGCAGTAAAATGAGACAAAGAATTAATATCCTAGATAAATAGTGAGCTCTTAAAAATCAATAGGGAAAATATTTAATGTTTTAATTGAAAAATGGGCAAAATACTCTGAGGCAATCCACCAAAGAAACACAAAAACATCTGAAAAATGTGCAGCGTCAGGAATAATCAAAGAAATGCTAGTAAAATATGAATAGTCTTTTTCCCCCTATCAAGATGGCAAAGATGAAAATTATTGACATACTTTGTGAGGGGCAGCAAGTCTTCCCATGCAGTATCGTTGAAAGAATAAAACAGTCATATCACCTTAGGAAAGTAGCACAGCAGTATCTATTACACTGTAAAATACTTAATTATGCAACACACTTCTGGGAATTTACCCTAAGGAGATGTATACACATTACTGCCTATTTACAGTATTGAAAACATGAAACAACCTTTGTGTCCATCAATAATAGACTAGTAAATTATGATGTAGGAATTTCATACAGCTCTTAAAAATGGACACTATATTTATTTACTGGAAAGATCTTGTTGAATAAAAAATGAAGGTTTCAGAATATAGGCTTTGTAAAATTGTAATAATAGGTTTTATGTCTATTTATAAATACAGAGATGCTTGAAAGGCTATCCACTCTCTCCCTCACCCCAAGAAAAGTAATTTTAAAAATGTGCATTTCATGTTTAAGAAAATCAGATGATACAGAAATATCAAAAGTAAAAGGTGAAAATCTAAGTGCTCCTCTCACTGACTTCCAACACCTGTCTCCAGAGATAAGCATTGTTAATTTGATTTCCAATTTTTTTTTTTTTTTGAGACAGAGTCTCACTGTGTTGCCCAGGCTGGAATGCAGTGATGCAATCTCTGCTCACTGCAGCCTCCACCTCCCGGGTTCAAGCAATTCTCCTGTCTCAGCCTCCGGAGTAACTGGGACTACAGGCATGCAGCAGCATGCCTGGCTAATTTTTGCCTTTTTGGTAGAAACAGGGTTTCATGATATTGGTCAGGCTGGTCTCGAACTCCTAACCTCAGGTGATCCACCTGCCTCAGCCTCCTAAAGTGCTGGGATTACAGGCGTGAGCCACCGCACCCAGACTGATTTCTAATCTTAAGCCCTTCAGATTCTTGTCTACCCTTTCACTAACGTGGATGGATATAGAGATATATTACTATTTAGAAATATATATTATTCTTCTACTTTAAAAATATTTTATGAAAGCATTGCTCACATCTATAAAAATGCACATACTACAATAGTACATCTCAATGAGTTTTCACAAAATGAACACACTTGGGTACCCAGTTCCAAGATGAAAACAACCACCACAACAAAAATAACCCAGGACACTACCAGCACCCCAGAAAATCTCCCTGTACCGCTTTGCAGTCACTGCTTTGACTGCAGATTTCTAGAGGGAGTGATTAGTTTGGCTAGTTTTATGTTTTAAATGAATGTAATAATCACAACTTCAGCAATAATAAAGTATTCTGCTTTTGTGTCTGGCTTCTTTTACTCAATGTCATGTATCTGAGATGCATCTGTGTGTTGCTACCTGTAGTTGTAAATTGTTTATTCTCATTGATGTCTGGTATTCCATTGTGTGACTACACCTCAATGTATTTCTCCAGTGCACTTTAGAAGGCTTTGAAGTAGTTTTCAGTTTGGAGTTCTCATGTATAGTGCTGATGTGAACATTCTTGTGCATATCTTTTGGGAATCATGCATGTGCATTTCTGTTGACTATAAGACAAAGGATGAGATTACTCAGTCGTGGACTTTTATAATATTCAGCTTTGGTCTACATTTCAAAGACATTTTCCAAACACCATTTATACTCCTTGTAATGGTTAATTTTATGTGTCAACTTTGCTATGGCAGGGTACCTAGATATTTCATCAAATATTACTCTCGGTGTTTCTGTGAAGTTATATTTTAGATGAGATTGACATTTAAATCAGGACTTTGAGTAAAGTAGATTATTCTTCACAATGTGGGTGGGCCTCATATAATCAGTTGAAGGCCCTACCTGCCTGGAGGAAGTGAGAATTCTGTCAGCAGACAGACTTCATACTCTTCTCTGAGTCCCCAGCCTGCCAGCTTACTCTGCAGAATTTGGACTTGCCAGCCTCCACAACTGTACGAGCGAAATTTCTTAAACCTCTTCTTACACATACACATTCTATTGATCCTTTTTCTCTGGAGAACCCTGACTAATACACCCCTACCAGCCAGTGTTTGAGAGGTACTTTTCGTCCTCCACATTCTGCATAAACTTGATATTTTCTGTCTCTCATTTTAGCAGTCTGCTGGGTGTAGTGTCACTTGTTTTAGCAGCGTACTATAGACAACATAAGACATTTGGCTTTCATTTGACTTTAAGAGCTGTAGATTTTCTATTTTATGTGTATAGAAACTTTTATGTAATTGTCTTCTAATAATGGACATTTAGATTATATCTAGTTTTTCATTATTATAAATAATGCTGCACTGAAAATATTGCACATAAATATTTTAAAATCTTGTGTTTCTCTATGCTACATTTCTAACACTGAAAATTTGGGCCATAAATATACCTATGTAAAATGATGGTCAATATTTCCAAAGTGTTCTCTGCATATATACCAGTGGCAAATAATAATGCCTAACTCTCCACACCATTACCAAGTAATATGTATTTTAAAAACCCACCTATTTTTTATTTTAATTTCATTTGCATTTCTTCAGTTACTTGCCAGTTTGACTTCTTCAAATGAGTAGTGGTCATGAATATTTCTTTTATTAATTTTCTGTTTATATCTTTTACCTACTGGTTCTATCGAGTTAGTTTGTCCCTTTCCAAATCATGGCAAGAATTCTGTATGCATTATAGATATTACTGAATAAATCTTTTATGATGCAAATATTATTCTAGTTTTTTGTATGTTAAGGAGGCAATGCAGTGTACAGGTTAAGTATATAGGTTTTGGAATCAACGTTTGATTATAAGACTTAGCTTTGTCACTTACTAGCTGGGTAACATTGGTGAAGTTATTTAACCCCCTCAAAACCTCAGTTTTCACAAGTGTAAAGTACAGATAATAGTAGTTTCCCCCATAACGGAGTAATTGTAAGAATTGTGTTGCACGTAAAGCACCTAGCCATTATCTATCTTAGAAAACTGCTTATTATTATAACTATTTCTCTTGTAACTTTGTATGATTTCTTAGGCAGCTGAGAAAATTTTAGTTTTTATATAAATTAGTCAATCTTCCTCATGACTTCTCATTCTTATGCCATCCCCTAAGATAATAAAATATCGCTCTTTGGTTTCTTCTAGTATTTACACAACTTTAAGTTCTTCCTTTAGATTATCAAGCCATATGAAATTTATTTTTATATGCTATAGAGATTTACATTCATCTTCCACCAGATAGAGAGCCAAATACTCAAAAGTCATTTTTCTAATAATCAGTCATTCCCTCACAGACTTTAAATGTCACCACTTTAATTCTAAAATAATATTTGTACTTTGATCTGTTTCTGGACTCTTTCTTTTGTTCCCATTGATATAATTCCTCATTTTTACACTGGCACCTTACTTTTGTAAGTTTTAAAAATGGCAATTTTTAAACATCTGCTAGGCAACTCTTTTATTATTCTTTACAGTAGATTCTCAATTATTATTCCAAATGTACACTTTCAAGTAAAATAATCAGCTGGCAGTCAATCTTCTTATTGATTTTTAGTTCATTTTGATCTTTTAATCTCTTCAATGATGTTTTGATTTGAAGACTATATGTCCTCTAATTTATCTGGAATGCAGAGGTTTTGATTTCAAGATTTTCTTTTTTGTAGTTTCTATGAATATGTTTCATATTCTCTCCTTTCTGGTTCTCATTAATCTATAATAGGGGAGCAGGGCTGCTACCTGTAGCTGCACAGGTTATGTACTGTACAACTCTGTGGAGCATCGTTTATGGAGATGCAGCACAAATCTTGCAAAACTGTTAGGCAGCAGGCTAAGGATCTGTTGTATGGGATCTTTTATTTACTGAAGAGTTGGCATGGAGTAATTCTCCTTGATTTTCACCTATGGATACCTGGACACTATTTCAATTGCGGCATAATAAACTGAACTAGAGAATCATTTGTCTTAGCTTATAATCTTTGTATAGTCCTTCAGTTATTGTCAAGAGACGGGATACAAGGATTGTAGCAACCAGTACACTGGGCAACCTTAATTCGGAGACATTGTTTCACAGTGCTGTGGCAGAAATTTCAAACTGTTCTCCAAACGGATTTCCTCTCTTGTCTGAGCACACACTTACGCTATGCTGCCCAGCCCCCATTGCAGTTATGTGTGGACACACAACAAGTTCTCACCAGGGGAATGTGAGCTGAATCATGTGTCATTTCCAGGATGAAGTGGTTAGCAGGCAGACAAGCCTTTTCCACTGTGCTATGATGAAAAAATACATTTGGTCTTTGTCCTGGGTTCCTGGCACACCAGCTTTTAAAACCTTTGGCGTCTTGTAAGTGATAAATGTCTTTTGTATGCTAATGAGATAACTGGGAGAGTGGGGACCATACATAGTTTCTGGATGGGATTTGGTTGCCAGAAAGGCCAAGCCATGATTAAAAGATTAGAACTTTCAACCCCACTCCCTGATCTCTGGGGAGGAGAGAGGGAGATTGAGTCAATCACCAATGCCCAGTGATTTAACCAACCATGTTTATGTAATGAAACCTCCATAAAAAATTCTAAATGATGGGGTTCAGAGACCTTCTGGGTTGGTGAACACATTGAGGTACTGGAGGGTGGTGTGCACAGGAGGTCATGGAGGCTCCACATACCTCCTCCCATACCTGGCCCTACGCGTCTCTTGCATTTGGCTGTTCCTGGGCTGTATCCTTTATAATAAATGGGGAATAGTAAGCAAAGCACTTCCGTGAGTTCTGTGAGTCATTCTAGTAAATTTAGTAAATTATTAAACTTGAGGAGTGGGTTTTGGGAACCCCTGATTTATAGCCAGTCAGGCAGAAGTACAGGAGGCAACCTGAAACTTATTATTGAGTCTGAAGTGGGGCAGTCTTGTGAGACTGAGCCCTTAACCTATGGGATCTGTCATAGCTCTGGATAGTTAGTGTCAGAATTGAATTGTATTGCTGGACACCCAGTTAGTTTTGGAGAATTGGAGAGGTGGTGTCAAAGGACACCACATCTACCCTTTAGCTTTCTATCTTCTGGGTAAATACAGAGGACTCCGAGGCCCCAGAGGAAGGTGAAACCACAAGACAGCCGGAACCTGTGGCCCTAAATAAGGTAGATAATAAACACCTACCAAGAATATTTGCATTAGACTGTTATGTGAGGAAGAAATTGTTTTTTGTTGTGTTAAACCACACAGATTGGGTGTTTGTTATGGGACATGCTGCCAAGTAAAATGTAGAATCAACTAGTCAAATCAACATGTGCCATGATCTCTCCCACTTTTCCTTACTGGGTTTTAGTGTCTTTTTTGTCTGTTACTCTCTTTATTGATGTTTTGAGTCACATATTACATGCCCTCTTTAACTTTCCTGAAAATGTAAAGAAGTTTTTATTTCAACTTAGGATAAAACCATAGGATATTATTAGCAATATCCTAATTAATATTAACAGTTGCCACCAAATATAACAAGTTTTAACCGGTGTCATAATTCTCCTCATTTTTTACCCTCCTTTAAGCCAAGTAGATAATTAATGGTTCAGTATGAAGCTCTTGGCTCACAATTAGTCCCATTAACTCATAAATCTTTTTTTAGTGAGGTAGCTTTAATTTTTTTGTTCATTTGTTTTCATATCTGCTCAGTTAATTTTAGTCAATTGATGCCAAACTAATCTGATGGCTAAGCTAACCTTCTTCTAGGAATTGAATGTTTGTATTTCATCCTTATTTTCCTTATCTCCTGCTACTTTCCCCAGTGTAGTCCTCCAAATATATCCTGCATGATTTCTTGTCCTTACCTTTGCTCCTGCTATGACTTAGTCTGGAACAATTTCCTTTGCCTTTACCATCCCTGAAAAGCTTAACTAATCCTTGCATAGTCAGCTGAAACCCCACTTTCTCCAAGAGAATGTTATTAAACTTTTCCTTTCTCACATTTCTTCATGGCTTCTATCATATTACTTTCTTAATATTGCATTATAGCTATTTACATGTTTATCTCCACCTCTAAATTATCTCCTGGAGAGTAGGAAATATGTCTTACTTGTTGTATTTTCTTCATGCCTGCCGTGGAGCCTAGAACAGAGCACACATTATGAGATAGGCATTGATTCAATAGTCCTGCCAATTAATGTGTTCAATAAATATCATTTGGCCATTTACTATCCACCAGACATCTAATAGAAAGGATTGTATTTCAAAGTTACTTTTATGAGTGAAGAGCAGCCCTAGTGCCTGACCCACAGTATATTCTCAATAGGTATTTCATTATTGAATGTGGTGATTAGAGGGGGGATTTGCAAACAGCCTGACTTGATAAATCAACCATAAATTCTCCTACTCGGCCACTTCCCAACACAGAAAATGTAGAAAATGTGAAATTTTCTTTGCTACGACCACTCTGATCAAAACATATCCCAAATACATAGGCTCAGTAACTCATCAAAAATTAGTGAGATTGCTGACATGGATGCCAGACGTGGGGTCAGGCAAGGAGAGTGTTTATGTAGAGAAGCAGCATGGAATGGGGCGTCAGTTCCACAGCAGGGTGTAAAGTGTGTTGACATGGAAGGGCAGCCTGGTATGAAATGTCAGAGACCAAGTGGCAGGAGGGCGATCCACACAGAGGGACTCCCTGGCATGGGATTCTGGAACCAACCAAGGAGAGCATGCATATAGGGAGAAGGGTAGAAAGAGGGATGGGAGATGTATTACACCACGGAGCTGATAAAATAAGAAAATATAGTAAGGATAATAGAAAAAAGGCTTCTCACTCTCACAGAAAAGAGTTCAAAATATGGAAAGGGAGAAAACCAGGATGAACCCATGGTGTTAGACTGGATTTTTGACATATTGGTGTGAAATTATGGACTTCTACAAATGTAGATGGATTTTGAAAATGTAGATGTGTGTGGATACATGTATATAACTCTGTTGACTGAGGGGTTTGGAGGCCTCACTTCAATAGCAGTGAGAACATGTAGTACCTGTATCTTGGCTTCTTAATACCAGAAAGGAAAGAAGTGCCCCCCAAATGATGAGATGTTAAAGGGATGCAGAAACTACCTTGAAGGCCATCAGATTTAAGCATCAAAATAAATCATGAGAGTAATGTATTATAATCCACTGAATAACGTAGGAAACCATAGATCATTCTGATATAAAAAGAAAGTTTGATGAGCAATGAGGTATTTACGTAGTTTCAAAGAACCGTTTCACAAAAGTTACTGATTTCAAAGGAAAAAAATGTAACCTCCTATTAAAGAAGTGTAGCATAAAATATCTTAAATAAATGATTTAAGTAAATATTAGTAGTAATGAGACAAATTAAAATCTTGGGTCACCTGATAGGATGCAATGACAAGGACACGACATTATTCTGTAATACATCTGTCAAATTGCATAACCTGAGCCTGGCCATGAGGAAATATCAGATATACCAACATGGAGAGACCTAATGCAAAACGACAACCTGCAATCTTTTTTGTTTTTTTCTTTCAGACAGGGTTTCACTCTCACTCAGGCTGGAGTGCAGTAGCACGATCATGGCTCACTGCAGCCTTGTCTTCCCTAGCTCAGGTGATCCTCCCCAGAAGCTGGGATTACAGACATGTGCCACCACACCCAGCTAATTTTCATATTTTTTCGTAGAGACGGGGTTTCACCATGTTGCCCAGGCTGGTGTCGAACTCCTGGGTACAAGCGATCCACCCACCTTGGCCTCCCAAAGTGTTAGGATTACAGGCGTGAGCCACCATGGCTGGCCACAACCTATCATCTTTAAAAGTCACGAACGTCAAGGACTTGGCACTGTTCCAGGTTAAAGGAGACTAAGGAGACATGATACCTAAAAAGGTAACACATAATTCTAAGCTGAATCCTTCTGCTAGAAAGGGCATTTAGGAAAACTTAAATGGGATCTGAGGCCTAGATGATACTGATGTACCACATTAGTTTCCTGATTTTGTTATTTGTATTATGGTTATTAAGAAAATATCCTCACTTGTTGGAAACACACACCAAAGTATTCAGGGGCTGATGGGTGTCAAGTCAGTAATTTACTCTCGAAGGTTTCTGTGCTGTAGTCACTAGTTTTCTGTACACTTGAGATTGTTTGAAAATAGAAAATGTATGCCAAAAAAAAAAGAATAAAACAGTCTGTGGAATTTTCTATCATCTTAAATTATCAACTTCCATATTCAGTCCCAAGTATGCTTTTTCCACAGGGCTTGCTTACCTCCACCACCTTGAGTGAATTCTTTTATGGCACTTGGTCACACTGGGCACTCTGGTCTCCTCTTCATTACCGTTCACTAGACTGGTTTTACTTAGATGTGCTTATTTTTACAACCTGCATTTTAACCACCAGAATAGAGGCATAAATGCCATAGGCACATTTCAGCACATCCATTGTTCATGCTGACAGAAATGTGAGGTCAGGTTATCGGAACCCTTAGTAGATGTGATAGTATAATTTGTTTTGTTTGTCCCATTGCATTATGTTGATTATTATAAAAGCTTCTATTTGTTATACAAACCAAGTGATAATACATTAGCATATATTTTCTCATAGCCTACACTCTAAAGTCTACACACATAAAATATATTTTATCTTATTTTGAAAATTAAAACATTTCAAAATTATCAATCATTTCTTTAAATATTGCAAATATATTTAGCCGTGAGAAGTGAAAGACAAATATTGTGATGTATTCGTATAAACACAGTATACTCTATGTAGGAAACCAAATTATCTGTTAGGGAAAACACAGTATGTTTATTGCCATCTGCCTAGATAAGTAAAAAATATATAAATCAAGTAACTGAAGGAGAAATGAAAACCAAAGATATTCTTTATATGTATTAGGGAAAGAAATATTATTGCTCAACTATTTGGGTGCTTCCTTTGGAATGGAAGAACTTTTAATATAAGTATGCACCTTATAACTCAGCTTGAACTACTATTATTATTAACTAATAATGCAATATTATTGGCACTTCTTTGGTCATTTACTATAGGAGCTAGAGGCATACATTACTGGAACATAAAATGGGAAATTTGTTTGGCTAGCTTATCTGACAGTTGCCTACATGCCTGAAGCCCATAAACGCTATGACTGTCCAGGATGTATCAGCCTGCTCACACCATGACAACCCAGGTGACATTAAAGCAGCACATGTTTGTCTACAGGTACCATAATGGACCGTATCAATCCAATGTGTGTTAGTGTGTATGTGCCATGCCAGTCCATTATGCTGTGACAGCCACATGTATCAATCTCCATGCACAACTAATTAAATACATGACAGCACAGCACATGTCAGCCTTGTTGCACTTTGACAGCCATTTTACACTGTGGGGGACCAGTGTGTGTCAGGTGTCAATCTCACACACCATGACAGACTCCTATATGTAGTAATATATTATATATTATATATACATAATATAATATATATAATATATATATATATATATATATATATATATATATATATATATATTCTGCATGTGCTTTGAAAGTTCAGTATATACCATGAGAGCCTTGCATGAACCATAGTAGCCATTTTACAGGAGCAGGGGGTTGAGTGGGGGAGCATTCTGTGACATTCTACATGCACCACGACAGTCCAGTGGATGTTAAACATCTTAGCAGACCAGAATGCAATGTGACAGCTCAGCATGTGGCATCCTGCTTGTATTCTAACAGTCTATGTACACTGTGGTAGCCCAGAGTTTATCAGCCTGCATGCTCCATCACAGCCACCACATACTATAACAGCCCCCCAGGAGCCATTCAGCATGTGCAATGACAAGTATAGACTGTAATCACCCAGTTGGTGGAAGTCTGCATGTACCAGGACCATCAATACATATTGTTAGAGTTTATAATATATCAAGCCCTTCATTCTAGCAATGCAATGGTGTGGTATCTTTTTGTGTGTGCATATATGTGTATGCTTAACTTACCTCGATTGATTTTAGCTGCATTTCTTTCCATTGCCTATGTTTTAAGTTCCTTGCTTTCTGTTCCCATTTGCTTTAAGTGTTTATGTCTTCTTTCCTATAATCTATCTCAGCATTTGCCGTTCTCATTCCCAGAGGCTGCAACAGCCTATTGACCAGCTATCTCTTAAATTCTTTTTTTGAACTAAGGTGCAGAATGTATAAGTAAATAAACAAGGTCATTTTGGAGGCTGACAGATTTTATAGTCTAGCCTCCCATCCTCTTTTTTAAATACCTACAATTATAATCACACACACTCACACACACACACAATGGCACACATATCACATGTTTTAAGACCCTTAAGGTTTCCCATTGCTATAGAAACAGCTTAACATCACTGCCATTGTCTTCCAAGTTTTTCCCAATTTTTCTCTGTAACTCATTTTGTATTATACTTTTTCCCATTCCATGAACAAAGCCCTGAACTTTCCTACCCCTGGACCTTGGTTTGCCCTCTGCCCTTTGGGTAAAATGTACATCTCTATTCTCTTTCAAAGTTTGATATATCTCTAACTGTTACTGTTAATTTTCCTTTTCCATTGCCTCAAATATCTGGATATCTGACAGTCAGAGGAGTCGTATTTCACTAGGGGGATAGAGCTCATATTAAGTATTTGGTCCTACATGTGCCCTCACATGTGCCCTCACATTTTAGAGGTATATTAGTCCAGGACAATATCTTCTAACAAGTGACACCTCCTTTTAACCTTCAGTTTCAAAAGAGAAGATTTCTCTACCCAAATATACCTGTTAACCAGCAACACTGCAAAAGACATGTATAATTTACTAAGATTATTTTATTAATTTGTAATATGAGGAAACTGAGTGGTCTCATCTACTTCAAATCACTGGAATAAGTTTTTTACCACCTCCCTATTCCTTGGAAGAAATCATTACTATTCACAAGTTTTGTATTGTATAACCAATATTTTCTTAAGGTTATGAGAAAAATTTCTGTCTATTACAATCAAAGGCTCATATTTTAATGAAGTTCAGACTCTATTAGTCATTTTTAGTGTTTTATTCAGCCTACTAATACATTTGAATTTGAGCCCCACCACTTAGTATCTCTTTGAATGTGGGGCAGGTCTGAGCCTCAGTTTCTTAATTTGAAACATAGGGAAGTTGATAAAACCTACCTCATAGCGTTGTGAGAGTTAAATTATATTATTCATGCTCTCAACAAATATTTATTGAGTACCTGCTACAAGCCAGTAAGTATTAAGTGCATCGGACATACTTATGGACAAAATAAGAAAAAGAATTTCCTGTCCTCCAGAAACTTGTAATTCTAGTAGATAGTAATCATTACAGTGTAACGTAAGCGTTATGGTGGCATAGAGCAAGTTAAGAGGGTCTGTGAGTTCTGGGATGAGGGTGGGGAGGCTGCCACTGAGAAAGTGGCATTTCAACAATCTCGAAAAAGGTACTGACTAAACAGACAAACACCTGGGAGAAAAAGAGTGCTGTAGGCATGGGGAACAGCTAGCAGAAAAACCTAAATTTTCAAGAAACTTTAACCTTGTTCATGGAATGACAAGGAGTCCAATGTGGCTGGAGTAGAGTAACTACGAGGAAAGGTAAAAGATAAAATCAGAGGGTGGCAGAGACCCAGATCACGTGAGGTGTTATTGGTCATTGCAATAACCATGGTGTTACTCTCAGTGAGATAAAATACCACTGGAGAGTTTTGAGCAAGGGGAGGACATGATCTCATGTAAATTCAAAGGATTTGCATTGACCACTGTGGCTGTGTTGAGATTGAATAGCAGAGAGACAAGGGTGAAAGCCTAAAGGCCAGTTAGAAAGCTAATCCAAGTGGGAGATGATCATCAAAGTGAATGTGGAGAAAAGTAGTCAGATTCTAGATATATGCTGAACACAGATATTAAAGGATTGATTTACTGATGGATCAATGTGAGCTATGAGAGAGGGCAGTCAATGACGACTGCAAGGCTTGAGCATGAGCGATGGGAAAGATGCCCTTAGCTGGATGGTCTAGAGCACAGGTGGAGCAGAGAGGGCTGGGCAGGAGAGGAGGCTCAGTTTTGGGCATGATAAATTTGAGGTGCCTATTTGACATTCAAGAAAAGAGGTTGAAAATGTAGTTGGATATGTGAGTCAGGAGTTCAGGGGAGATGTCTAAACTGGAGAGATAAATTTAGGAGTTTTTCTTTTATAGGTGATATTTAAAGCCATGAGAGACAAGTCCCCAAGGGATAGAGAATAAGCAAAGCAAAGTCCATGGCCTGAGCCCTGAGGTGCTACAGCATTAAGAAATCAGGAGAGGAGGAAGTGCCAACACAGGATGCTGAGGAATGGTAAGGAGGATGGAGGGAATCCAAGAGAGGGAAGCCAAGTGTCCAATCCTACGGACTAGATGTGAAATTAAATACTGGTTCAAAAGGAATTAAATATGGAATTAAACATTGAGTTATTAGATTTAGCAATCATGAGGTCATTACTGATCTTAAAAAGTGTTTTTGGGGACTGATGAAAGCAGTCTGACTGAATTTGAGAGAAAATCAAAGAGAATTATATACGGCAAGTATACACAACTATTTCAAAAAGTTTTGCTGAAAGCTGAGCAGAAAAAATGGCACAGTAACTGGAGACAGAAAGTAGGTTTGATTTTTTTTGTTTTTTTGTTTTTTTTTCAATAGGAGAAATGATACTATGTTCATAGGCTGATAAGGGAGCTCCAGTAGAGAGGGAAATTATTATTTCAGGAGCAAGAGGGAAGAATTGCTAAAACAATGTTCTTGGGTGACAAAAAAGGGGTGGGATCTAGCACATCTACTGGTGTTCTTGAGCCCCACTCACACAGGCTCCCAAGAGTGGGTCATTAGCATCTCTTACCAACTCCATGTTCAGTGACATCATGTTGTCAGCTTGTAAGAGGCCGAGGTTGGACTATTTACACCACATACATTGGCAAATACTGCAAATATGGACTTTTTTATCCTAAAAGAGTAGGGTGTTAAACATTTATGAGGATACCACTGAGTCCATCAGTGAGAGCCCTGGCCTTAGATAGACACAGGAGATATCCATCCATAGGAGAGAAAGAAGAGAAAGAATAAAGATGCAGGTTCTGATAGATGGAGAGATAGATGATAACATGTTGCTTGTCCCAGTGGCTGGCACACAGTCAGTGATTAATTATTATGTTTACCATCTCATTCAATCATACCACATTACCTCTAGCTGCAGCAAGGCTTCCAGGCACAGGACTAAGACTTTAGATGCAATGACTCATTAATTTATTAATTCAATAAACATTTATTGAGTATTTCTCTTGGATGCTTAAAATTATATTGTAGATTCAAGCAAATAAATTCAATAAATATTTGGTAAGAAATGGCAATAAACAAAGTATTTTAGTGGGTGTCACAAAGGATCAAAGATGAATCTCAAAAAAAAGATTAAATTTATATATCATTTCTAAAATAAATAAGTATATATTATGTGGTATAAACCAAAATAACAGTCAAAATGATTATAGCAGAACTAAATCTATTATATATGATTTTGTGAAATTTAGGCTTATGACAAACATCACATATAAGTATGCATTTTTTCCCCAGTAATTCACTAAGAATCAAATTTTATCCAGTTTGAAAATGAGAACTATGGAAGAAATCTAGGAGTCAGAAGAAAATTTGATACCAATTGTTCTCTAATCCTCATCTCACTGGAATTGTCTTTAAGATTAGGAAACATTGTTATTCCATTTTTGAAGTTCATTGAGTTCATTTCTCTAATCACATCATATTTTCGTTCTTCTATATCATTGACCTCTACTTTGAAGAAATAGAGAATCTTCTCCCTCTGCCCATGTTATTTCAGGTTTCCCAAGACTCTGGTCTTTTTTGACCTCTTCTTTCTGCACAATATTCCTGGGTAATCACATCTATGCAATTGCAGTTTCGAGTATCACTTATATGCAGACAAATAATAGCGATGTCTTCCACTTTATAAATCTCCTGTGTGCTAGAGCTGTACATCCCAACCAGCCATTCAATCTCTCCCTCATGATGTCTCATAGGTATCTTCAATTTAACAGGTTCACCTCCTAGAAACCAAGGAATTATCCGAGTTCTTCCTTTCTCTCCCGACTACATCTGCTCTGACATCCATTATATCAGTTCTTCCTTCAATAGTCATTGACACAAACAGTTTCTGAGTGCAGCAATTACAGTTTTTACCTGGGTTATTGCTAATAGTCTCCTGTTTGGTCTTTCTGTTTCCAATTCTTTTTCCCTGTCATTGAAACTGTATTTCTAATATACAGATCTGATTAAGTTACATTTCTTCTTAAAATTCTTCAAGTGTACCTATCCTGAGGATATACTGAAATACTTAATGGAAACATTAATGCACATACAAAGATGTTAATCATAGTATAATATTAGTGAAAAATGGAAATGACATAAATTTTCAACAGTAAGGGAATAGTTATGTTCACAATAATGTATCCATTCACTGGAATATCCTGCAGCCAACAGTAATAATTTTCCAGGAAACTAAAGTGGGCTTATTCTAAGGGATGCATATTGGAGCTAGCACAAATTTATGTTCTCATTTCTATAACCCACACAGACCTTCTCTAACTTAACACACCAAGAAAATTGCTTCATGTTTATGGTGATCATATGTAATTTCAATAGGCCTCAGAAACTCTGTCTATCTTATCCCAATTTAAATATAAGTAGTCACATATGGCAATCACCAACCTTTTAGTGCCTGTTGCTCTTGCTTTCATCATCCCAGATTTTTGTCTCCTGCATCCATACCCCAAATTTAGGACAGCGACTCTAGCTCTCTGCAGAGTTCCCACCTGCGCCTTGTGTATGCCTTTGGTTTTGGTACCCTCTGCCTCCTACATTTTTGAGCAAAGATTTCTTTGCTCCAGTTCCTAGTCCTATGTACAATGCATCTTCAATGCATCTTCAGAACTTACACCTAGAATTCTGAATTTCCAGGCTTCCCACACTCACTTGAGGCAATGGATGAGAAATGGCCACTGTCCTATTACTGCAGTGGGGAATGCAGCACAATCAAATGAGAATGTGAAGTTACATGATCTGGAAACTGTTGTCACTACACAACTGATAACTATGGAGTTTGAATCTATGACATTCACAAGGATTACCAAGAAAGATATTCCCTTACCCAGTCTCCTTCCTAAGATTGATTTCAGGTGAATGGGCTGAAGAGAGGGGGAGAAGTCTTCCTAAGAAATGCCCAGGCTTTCTCCTGCATAGGTGACTTGCAGTTTGCAGGAGCCCGGAAAGACTTCTCTTTCTGTCTGCTTATCTAAGGAGAGTGGGTGATCGACAGCCCTAGTAAAATAAAGGAGTCCCTTTTACTGAGATGCACGGGATTTGGAGACGCAAGTAATATATTCGACAGTCCTATATGCCAGGACATAGTGAATACTGATAAAAATAATAAATAAATGTTTCTTTCTGAGAGGGTAAAAAAAAGAAGTTGGAGGCTTCTTATATTCTGGCATTCATCTTGTTAATTTAATATTTGGAAGGAAACTTCTCTCTGTTGTAGGTTGAGGAAAATACTTCATTTTCCCATAACTATAGACCTTAATACCCAGTGAGGGCAGAGAAGGTGTGTTCTACCCACCATAGCCCAGAGTCTAGCACAGCCTCTGGCACATAGGTGACAGTAGATATTTGTGGAATGAACTAAATAATGACTGCCTATTTGCCTCATGGCCTAATCCTGTCCGTAGAATGCCATTTCATGTGTGAGGGTTTATTCCTCAGCAGAGACAGATACACTCTTCCCTGACTGTAGCATTTGTCAGGCAGGATGATTCATTTTGGCCATCTGACTCTCCATGTGGCCAGGGCATCAGTCACCTCTTTAGTCTGCAATGATCAGGCTTGCTCTAAGTTGCCAATGGTCTCTTCATGGCCAAATCTAACTATATTATCATACCTTTCAGGCACACATCACACTAATCCTCTTTCTTGAAATCCTCCCATGCTTTCATTTAAAAAATTATATGTCCCTAGCCTAGATCTCCCTCAGATTGAGTTCCATATATCCACTCAATTGTCTAAGAAGTATCTCAAATTCGTGGTGTCCAAATTGAGTTTATATTCATTCCCAAAAAAGCTCCTTGTACTGTATTTGTCATCTCAGTTAATTAGCTGGATTAATCAAGTTGTCTTTGTTCCCTTCTCTTCAATTGAATTCAAATTTCTATAAACTTTCTAGTTTTCTACCAGTTTACTTGATTTAAATGGACATTTGGAACCTATATTGTTTTCTAGCAGTGTTAAGGATTAGATAGTGTTTGTTTCTGTCCCTTCAATGACATAATAAAAGTAATAGCAAGAAACAGAGCAAGAAAACAAAGAGATAGATATTATCATTCTATGATAATAGATGGTGTTTGTTAAGTACTTACTATATGCTAAGCATTCTAAACTATATATGTATAATATATATTATATACATATATAAATTTATTTATTCTTCAAAACATCTCTATGAAGCAGATGCTATTATCATTCTCATTATACTAAGAAGGAAACTAAGGCACAAGAGGTTACTTAATTTGTCTTTGATTATAACAGCTAGAAAGTGATAGAAATATCAGTTAACCTTGAGAACCTGCATTCTTACATTGCTATTCACATTTTAACTCAATGTTAACTCTTACATTGTTATTCACATTTTTCTTACATTGTGTCCCTTCTATTTAAACAATTCTTTCTTAATAATTCCTACATATATTTCAGGACCATAGTACCCACTGTTACTTAAATTAAATTACCACTAGTCGCATCGATTGCTACTGTTTCTTGTATGTTAAAATTTTGCCATCTTGAGATCTTTATGCTAATGCAACCTTCATTTGGCTAGAGTACTTTGATGAGTTTCTTTTTCTTATCAGAAAGGAAGCATGCATGTGATACTTTCTGAGAGCTTGCATATCTAAAAATACAAATTTCTTGCTCTCATGAATGAACAAAATTTGATTGGGTATGGTAATGCATGATCACCATCTCTTTTCCTAAAAAATCCACAGATATTGCTTCATTGTTACTGTATTTCCAATATCATAAATGAAAATATTGGTACCAATCTGAGTCTCCTCCTTTTTAGGTAATTGCTCTTTTCTATATGGAAGCTTTTATGACTTTATTTTTTGATTCCAGAATGTCACCACGATGTGTATAAATGTATGTAGATATTTTTCAATGATCTTGCCAAGTATTTAGGTTTTCAGCTCAGATAAATTCTCCTCCAGTTCAATTTTCATTGTTATTTCTTATCCATGAGCTACTTCTTTCCTTTTAACTTACCATTGTTTAGAAATTAGAACACTTGGGTTTGTCTACATGAGTTTTCTCATAATTTCTATCTCTTTGTTTTCTTGTTCTGTACTCATGGAGAGTTATTTGTTTCAATTATTAAATTGCTTAATTCAGTTTTTGGTAGCATACATTCTTGTTTATCACCTCTATTGATTCTTTTTTATTTTGGCAAATATAATTTTTTATTGAAACACACTTTCTTATTGTCAATTTTTTCTTTATTATGGCAGCTGGCTATGTCTTATCAATGCAATATCCCATTAACAGATGACAGAATTTAGAATTCTTTAAAGATTTTTACTATTCGCTGTATCAATTCTTTTTTAAAAAAAATGGCCCATTTGCCCTGATTTCTCAGTGTAATACTCTATTTTGAAGTGCCAATTTTAAAAATTTGCTCCATGATATTTTTTTTTACCCTTGAAGAGCTACATATATATTTTTTCATTGGGATGGGCTCCTTCAAATCTTATATAACTTTGGCATCTGTAGACCTAGAAAAATAGCAGTTGGATTTGTTTTCTGAAAAGATCATAGATGACAGGTGGCAAACCCTCTCATGCATGGCAGATAGGCACATACATGTTCACCCAAAGTGGGTCTCTTCTAAAAGATAAATGACTACAAGATCCCTCTTATATGATAAAAGTGGCTATGGGAGTCTCATCTAATCATCATATTAATTCCTTGAAAGACTATAAGGGAGGGAGGGCCAGAAATATGACTACCAAGCAGGCCCTTTGACTTGGGCAACCACCTATGGATAGTCTTGGCTCATACCTTTGTCTATTTCTAGGAAACAGGGCGGCACAGACTTGCTTAAGCCAAGAGAGCTGCCACTTGACTATCTTCTACCTGCATTTAGCAACTAATGGCAAACAATGGGCATGTGCTTGTCCTTTAATCCATCCTCCTTTTAACATCTTTTTATGAACCCAGAGTTGCAGTTATGTTCGTTTGGTCCCTCTCTAACAAGGGACTTTTCCAATGATGATAATTTAGCTGTAATTTTCCTTCAGTATTTACTGGATTGCCTCAGTAGCAAATTCAACTTAGGTTTCTATCCTTTCAGAATTCTAAGTATCTTATATGTTTTATTTTCTATTATTTCCATTTTGAAATAATGAAAGTACATTTCTTCATCCCTAAGAATTAACCATTGTCTACATTCATCTTCCCCTCTATGGGCCACAGGTTATTCATGTAAAGCTTACCAACTGGCCATCACCCCTATAGATTGTTTCCTTGGACAATACAGTCAGATGAGAAATGCTATGAAAACATAACTCAGTTCTGAAAAACAGCTTCTCTATGAGGGAAAGGATGTTCCAAATAGATCAGCAGGAGCAAGACTTGGTGGTATGAGAAAGATGATAGATTCTGGAATGTACAAAATATCTGGTATGTCTGCAATGAAGCATGGCAAAAGATAAAGCTAGAGACCTGGGCAAGGGCCAGATCATGAGATCTTTAATACCATGGCAAGGAGTTTGAATGTTATCCAGAAAGCAATCAGAAGTTGAAGGCTTTTAAGGAAAGAGCAATAAGATTAGATGTGTGTTGTAAGCAAATCATTCTGGTAGCAGTGTGGGAAATGAATTGGAGGAGGGGAGAATGCAGTGAAGAAACCCATTAGGAAGCTATTAAACAGGTTTAGGTGAGAATTTATGAGACTTCTACTAGAATCAGTAGCAATGTAGAGAATAGTGAAGAGATTTGAAATTACTTAGTAAGTAGAGCAAACAGATTTGCTGTTAGATTACACAAGGGAATAGAAGAAGCAGCCAGAGCCTAGAATGGCTTGTTAATGGGTGTGCCTGGTGGTGCCATTACCTGAATCAGGGAAATGGGAGAGGAATTGAGTGAAGGAAAAAGAGACCATACTGTGCCTACCTTATCTAAGACATTTCAGGGCAAATGTCCAAAGATGTCCAATATCTACAACCATAGATCACACATATATAGCAAAATTATTCAGTAAAGACATATAAGCCAGATCTATACATATGAATATTAATAGCATATTGTTGATATGTAAAAAAGGATAATAAAACTAAATACGATTTTTGTGTTATTAGTGTGGTCTAGATATTATACTGATGTCTTAAGGAATAGACAGAAGAGAAGAGCCTAGAATCTAAGGGACAAGAGTCAGAGAGGTAAACAGAATATGAGGAGACTGTGAGGTCCAAAAACAGTGGGAAAAGGAGAGGAGGGAGCGTAGAAGTGTAGAATAAAGATGTCCAATATTCTAGAGATGTCCTGTTCTAGAGATGTCCGATAAGTTGAAGACTAAAAAATGTCCTTTGACTTTGACAATTAGGAAGTTACTAAAATTCTCATTAAAGAAAAGGACAGACAAAGGGAATGTAAGAGTTCCAATCTCTTTCCTGAGAATTGCATTTGACTTCAGTTAGTCACCCCTTGAACAAGTTTTAGAGGAAGTATCTGAAATTAGACCAAAGTCTCAGAAAAAAAAAGTGTGGTTGGTTATTGTTGGAAGTGAATAGAGCTATATTCTGGAAAGAATAGGGGAAAGGATAAACAAATCCTGTCCCTACAGAGCAGGTTGAGGCAAATGAGGAAATGAGGAGGCCACCACACTTATGCATAAGAAAAGATGGTCGAGGCTGAGGTACCAGGATGTGCTTGAGTAAGATGACTTAGAGGGAGGAAGAATGAATGTACTGGATGCCGGGATGTGTCATCTGGATCCCCCTTCCAGGAACGAGGCACTCATTCTTCCAGCTGCCAGGAAGGTTGGATACTGGTTGCTAAAGGCTGAGTCCCTCCCAGAAATTGTCCCTGTCAAGGGTTTTTCTCCCTACCCATTGGCAACCTGTATTTAATGACTGGTTGATGCAAAGGTATCAGGACCCAGTCTCCTTGCCTCTGTTCAAGACATCTCCAAAGGGCCATTTCAGCTTCAGAATTCCCATGAGACTGGCTGAAACTTCAGTGCCACTGCATCTCACTTTAAGCATTCTCTCAGCAAAATCCAGTTTCCTTCTTACTCCTTTGTATGGATTATTCCCAAGAACAGTCTTCAACAAAACTCCTGCATCAAATCTTGATTGCAAAGTCTGTTTCTGGGGAACTTAACCTGAGGGAGTATGCATATTATAATCACCTTTATGCCTCTCATATTTGGATCTAGCTACAGGAACAGTCTTGATTTCATCATTTAGAGGACTTATCAAAAGACTCCAAATGAGAAGTTAATATGACATAATTTTAAGGCAGTAGTTCTCAACTAGAAGCAGGAGTTGGAGATAAGGAAAGTATATTCTATAGCTGTACCTACTTGTATCCACCTTTGATACTTTTCTTCCCCAAATTCTGACACCTCACGTAACCCCACCACCTCCTTGAGAAACACTATTCTAAATACTATTGAACTCTCTGCCTATTGGCGTGGACCTGTTTTGAGGGGTCACTGTAGATAGAATGGCATATTACTGACACTAGGTAGTTGCTAGAGGTGAGAGGAAAGGCACTGAAGAGCTAAGCTTTATGGGTTTTTTTTTGAGGAAACACTTCAGTATATTTATATTCTGAATGGAAAATATCAGTGGAGAGAAAGAGGAGTTATGAATTCTAGAGAAAGAAGAAATAGTTAATAGAAGAAATAAGATAATAATAAAATAAGAATAATTAATAATTAATTTACAGGGCTTGGTTGGTATAGGGTCTTGTCATATTCCAACTAAGCCCTATAAATTAGTCTCCAATAGACTTACCTCCACAATCATTGAGCTGGACTCATATTAAGCATCTTTAGAATTAGAGTTCCCATACCTAAACCCTCTAACCTCTAAGACCAAAGTTTGATGATATTTGACAGAGGTTTCCAATGCTCTTCTGACGCACTTCTAAATGTCTTGGTTGCCCTGGATCTTAACTGCTGTGGATGATCAGGAGGGCAAGTTTCAACCTATTTGGGGAATCCTTATAGCTCTGTATACCTCTTGCCTATAGCTTTCCTGATGGTTTGGGTAGTTTTATAGTTGCTATCATTCTTTTTAAATAGAAATCCAAAGATTAATATGTGCTTTCATATCTAACAGATAAATATGAGCTATAATTATGATGAAACAAAACTGGAAGTCAAGATAAATGTTCTCATCAGTGAAGGAAGAAAATGCTCAGGAATGGTCATGCAGTAAAGTTTCACTGCAATTAGAAATCACTCCTGGATGTTGACACTTACTTCTGATTTCCAATGGGAGAATAAATTGACTAAAAGGAAGGGACAGAATATGAAAGAGGAGGGGAAAAAGAAAAACAGGGGTGTTACAGGCTGCAGTTTGAAGGTTAATTTTTTTTTTTTTTTTGATAATGCTTTGAGGGAGGAAAGCAAATGGCCCTGTTAAGAAATGATTGCTTTACTGCTTGGGGGCTATTAACAAGATATGATCTGAGATGCAATGCTCCTCGTGGGTCATAAAGATGACTATATACAAGAGCTGATCATTAGAAAAATGATTAAGGCTATTATTAACGCATTACTCAATTACTTATTAATTACTTTAAAATGTGGCTAGAAATGAGGCAATTAGGAGTTCACAGTCCTAATTGGTATTTGACATCACAGAGTGTGAATTGATGAGCACCAGCTGCTCTGACATTTTGCCTGGTGATCAGCTACTGAGGAAGCAGGCTGTAAAGCGATACTCTATCATCTCTCTTTTCACAGCATGGCCAAGCTCAGGGAGGACAGATGTTTCCCGTGGACGAATAAAAAAGCACTCACACTTCCATCTGACTAGAGAGCTGTGAAGTCAGTAGAAAGTAAGAGGGAAGCTGTATGTTGGTCTTTCCCATGGTGGACACTGGAACTAAAGCTGCAACCAAAAACATGGGGTGATTTCAGGTATGGCTGCATTCAAAATTAAACTTTTTAAATTTTAGGTAGTGGGTTATTAGCCAACCAGGCACAGAACAAATACTGATACTACAGCCTTCCAGTTCCTCTTGCCTGTAGAGCAAGGCACTCAAGACACCCTCCATTCAGGTCTGCAGACGGCATTTTGGGGTCTTTTGATTGTGTGTCTGTCAGCTTTGTTAAAAAGTAAAGATGTTCAAGGAAGTGACCTCTTCCCATGCATTTCTCCGGGCTTTTCACTTCCAAATAGATACCTTTATATTTGTGTGAATATATTCTAACCTATTAGATGTCTTCTCACATTGCTATGTATGTCTTTTTATCTTTCCTCCTTGGTGCCTTCAATCATAGCCTTTGAAACAGGAGGAACAACTCTCATCACATTACAGACATAGAGAGTCTTCTCATGTTCAGTAGTCGGCAAAAATAATGACTATCTTTCCCAGAACATCTAGAGTTGGCTGTTTTATCAAAAATGACTTTGGATCTTACAGGAAAATAGAGAAGATGAAAAGAAGTGTGTCTAAAAGGAGAGGAAGTAAGCATGGGAGGTAGAGGGGAATGAAAAAAGGAATCGAGAAAAGAGGCAAACGAAGCAGAGGGGAGTGCAGGGAGAGCAAAGCAGTATAAAGCTTATGAGGTGTGTGAGCTGTAAATTTTAGGCATGTAAGAAAAAGCAGGGCTGTCTCCTTGTCCCCATCCCAAGGCATTTTCCTCTCTAAACATTTGAGGGAAGGAGAAATTTGCCTTGTATCCACTTCTGGGCCAGTTCATGCTGAAGCCTTCTCTGTTATCATCTAATTTCTCATACCTACTTTCACGTATGCCTTAAGATGTCTTTGCTCTGAGACGATCACCTGGAGCTTTGGAGCTGCCATCTCCATCACTTTGGCGTTGCTGCCACCATGCTGACCTCCATGGAAGAATGATTCAGAGAATGAATGCCCTTTTCCTTCGAAGTTCCACCTTAATTCACCAGAGAATCACTAATGGGAGGAAGTTCAAGTAACTGAAGTTTAGGAATAACTAGAGGGAATTTTTTGTGGATGTGTAGTACCAGTTAGTTTTGTTGCCCAGCATCTCTTCCTCTTGTCTGGTAATGGCATCTCTCTTCCACTTGGGAAAATGCCCCGCCCCCATTCCACTTGGTCTGGTAGAATATCATCACAGCGCCTTCTCCTCCTGGCAACACACCCCATGTGTTTCAAGTAGACACGTGACCCAAACAAGGAACTCAGAATCCTTTCTTGAGATTGATATATGGGAAAAAGCATCTATCCTTTTCCTGAAGTTACTAAGCTCAGATAGTATAAACGTGGAGCTTCTGGCAACCATTTTCCCTAACTGCCTAAAAAAAGTCCATCTACACTTGGATAAAATGAGACCAAGTAGCAGACTAAAAAGTTGGGAGGAGGAGGAAGAAGAGGAAGATAAGAAGGGAGTGGGGGAGAAAGGGGGAAAGAGAGGGAGAGAGAGAATCTAATAAAGAAAGAGAGGCAGAGACAGAGACAGAGAGAGGGAATCTAATAAAAAGAGAAAGAGAGAAAGAATCTAGTAAAGAGAGAGGAGGACAGAGACAAGGAGACAGACAGAGAGAGAGAGAGAGAGAGAAAGAGAGAGAGAGAGAGAGAGAATCTAATAAAATTACTTAAGCCCCAAGGGTCCAGCCCGGGGAAGCCCCAGGAAGCCAGTAACCCATGGACTTTCCTTTGTTTTTGTGTTTTCTTTTCCCCAAGACAAAAGTTCTAATATGATCAGAGTCTGAAGGGTACAAGCAGGTCACATTAACTCACAAGAAATAGGTGCAGGAATTTTCAAAGACAAACTTGGGGCTTTACAAACAAACAGGATGACTTCAGTGCATATGATGGCATTAAAAACAGGGGACAAGTTGAAATGGACATTTTGTCCCTAATGATTTTCTTTTTTCCTCTAGATTTCTATTTGTAAGCTTCACATACTCTTCCCTTCTCAGACTATTCTACCTAAAGTATGACTACCTACTACAGATGCAACTGTAGTGATATGAATGTCAGTTGGCTGACTTAACTGTACAAGAAATATGTTCATTTTTTGATAACTCAATCTAATTTCTGAGCCTTCATTCCTTCAGTGTAGCAGAAATTTATCTCTGTCATTTTGGAGAATTCCCCCACCCTTCCCAGTGTTGCACCTAATTTCTGGAGGATGTTCCCAGCAACAAGAGATGGGGCACAGGAGTATAGGGTTTGAGTCTGGTCTCTGGTCATCATTTTTCCATGCATGTCTAGGGCATCCAGTGTGACGGCCAACACTGGGAACACACAAGAAAACCCCACCCCTCTAGATCCCCCGGGGCCCACCCTCTCAATATCCATCTCCTGGATGCACCTCAAAAATCATTTCTCTTCCTGGCTATTCTTGCTCTTTCTCTTTGTTCTAAGAATCCACAGACCTGTCCAAAATTTGAGTAATCTCTCCTTCCCATCTGACACTTGAATGGGTGAGGGAGAAGGGGAGGTAACCCACGTTTTATTCACTGTAAAGTATTTCATTACACAACTATAAACATCAAGTTTTATTTACCTATTCTCTTTGTAGTAGACATTTCTGTTGCTGTCAGCTTTATATTATCTTATTTATATTAAACAATATATTTAATTATTGTTTATTATATTTTAATAATTATATTATTTATATTAAACAATAGGTTAATTACTTTCATTAACCATGTTTTGTGGTACATACACGTGAGAATTTTTTTAGTTTGCACATCTAGAAGTGGACTGTTAGCTCATAAAGTTTGCATAGTCATAATTTTGCTAACAACTATCAATTTATCTCTGAAATTGTTATGATAATTTATGCTCCTACCAGTAATGTGTGAGAATTCTGTTTTCCCCAAATCCTTGCAAATAATTGATATCATTAGAAGTCTCAATATTTGTCTACTTGATGAGAGGAAAAATGGCATTGTGTTGTTGCTTTAGTTTGCGTTTCACAAAATCCAAATGAGATTGAACATCTTTTTGCAGTTTGTTGCTCCTTTGAATTTCTTTTTCTATGAACCTTATAACCTGTAGCTATTTTTTAAATGTTTATTCTTAGTGACTTATGGGAGTTCTTTACATACTCTGTGTGTGAATCCTTTGGCAAGGTTGTGGTTGTAGCATTTAGACTTTGACTCAATCTGCCTATGTTTATTTTTATTTTAAAAAATTATTTTTAATTGACATAATAATTGTACATATTTATAGGAGAGAGTATGATATTTTGATACATATATACAATGTGTAATGATCAAATCGGTATAATTAGCATATCCATTACCTCAAACATTTATCATTTCTTTGTGTTGGAAATATTCAAAATTCTCTCTTCTAGGTATTTGAAAATATACAATAAATTATTGTTTATTATGGTCATCCTGAAGTGCTATAGAACACTAGAAATTATTCTGGTTTATTAGTAAATAGCATGTTTCTAACCTTTTCCTATAAAAAGGATTTAGATAAGTGCGTGGTAACTTCTTTGTTTGAGACGGAGTCTCGCTCTGTCGCCCAGGCTGGAGTTCAGTGGCGCGATCTCGGCTCACTGCAAGCTCCGCCTCCCGGGTTCACGCCATTCTCCTGCCTCAGCCTCCTGAGTAGCTGGGACTACAGGCGCCCGCCACCACGCCCGGCTAATTTTTTCTATTTTTTAGTAGAGATGGGGTTTCACCGTGTTAGCCAGGATGGTCTCGATCTCCTGACCTCGTGATCCGCCCACTTCGGCCTCCCAAAGTGCTGGGATGGCAGGCGTGAGTCACCGTGTCCGGCCGGTAACTTCTTAGAATGTAGGGAGAGTAGAGGGAAATACAATGAGAAAAACATAAAGAACTCACATTCTTCCCAACTCTTTCACAGAAGCAGAAACAAGACAACCATCATTAGGTCAACAAATTACCCTGGTATACACTTTATGGTGTTCTTGCAGGGTTCCTTAACTTTTCACATGCTCCTTCTTGTCCGTTCTCATTTTGCGTGCCATTCAAACTTCTACACATCTTTGCAAATTTAGCACAAAAAACATATTTTAAAAGAATTTATTAAGTAAACTCTCCTTTGCCTCCTAAAGCTTCTGAAACATGGTCCTTAGCTCACAGTATTGTAATATTCTCTGCATCTCTGCTCAACCCTCTAAGGGCATTGAGGGTAAAGACTATGCCTCATTCATCTCAATATTCCCAGTGGCTAGGATCATTAGAAGGGATTCTCACTACATGTTGAATGACTGGCTGACAGAAGCTGTTTCGACTGCAGGAAAAATAATGTTTTAAAATTCTTGCCCAGAGAATCAGTAATTAAAAGGGCAATGGGGAAGGTTAATTTTGGAATCATTTGGTAAACATATCTTTCATAAATTGTAAAGTTTCATTTGGGAAATCTAGTACACATATATAATATGTATATAGCACCTGTGCACTAATGCATCACACGCAGACACACACTATATTGTAGAAATAACAACAAAATCTTGGAGTGGGGGGAAGTAGCTTACTATAGCTCTTCCTAGAATCCATCTTAGAGCTTATTTAAAAGAAACAATTCCGGAGCCTGCAGTAAGCCGAGATCGCGCCACTGCACTCCAGCCTGGGCGACAGCGAGACTCCGTCTAAAAAAAAAAAAAAGAAAAAGAAAAAAAGAAACAATTCATTCTTTTCCAGGCCTCAGCACAGATTTCTGCTAACTTGAGCTCCTGGGCTGCTAACACATCAGAGAGAAAGGAAGGTGTCATTTAGTAATGTGGCTGCTACTGATGACACAATCATCTTTCATGAAAAAAGTTAGCTCCAGGGGAGGGCTGCCTATTATAGCAAAAAGATGGGAAGTTAAGAGAATTGGTTGCTAGGTTTTCTTTGTGGGGAAGCAAGCTAAATTTTTTTGCTGAGTATGACAAAAATGCAAGCTATTTATTCTGATTGAGATAATATTAGAAAAGAAGAGGTTGAAAACCAGAAATACAAATCTTGAGAGGTACAAGGACTGTAAAGTCACAAGGGAAAGGCACCTGATTGTTTTGCTGACCCTTTATATACTGGGGACCTAACACAACGCCTGGTACTGGTAGATGCTTGTTATATTTGTTGGATGACTACATAAACAAATATCTCCTGTATTCTACTAGTATCCCCTTAGCTTTCTTCAACAATTCTGTAATTATTATAAAAATACAATATTATTTTCAATTTATTATTTTCAAATTATTTCAATAGTATTTTCAAAATTGCAAAAAAGAGAATAAATGAAAAGCCATCCATAATTCATTCATTAAGATAAAATTAGGTTTTAAGTATTTTCCTCTAGTTATTTTTCTGTATACACATGCATTGGTATTTGTAGGTGTGTGTGCATAGATACACAGAAATATGATTATGTAACATAAATAATTTTTCATTTACATTTTGAATATTTTTGAGGTTATTAAATAATTTATTTGAGAATATGATTTATAATTGTGGTAAAAATACAATATTATTTATCTGCATTTAATCTATCAACATTTAACTTTATTATTATTAATCTATCAACATTTAACTATTCTTCCCTATTGTTAGACAATGAAACTTTTCAAATAGCTGCTATTTTATTTGATTTTTTAATTCTAGAGACAAAGTCTTGCTCTGTCGCCCAGGCTGGAGTGCAGTGGCACGTCTGTAGCTCACTGCAGACTTGAATGCCTGGCATCAAGTGATCCTCCTGCCTCAGCCTCCTGAGTAGCTGGGACTACAGGCGCAAGCCACAATAGCTGCTATTTTAAGAACATAAGAATTATTTAAGTCAAAGGATATTAATATATAACTACTTCCTTTGGCATATATTTCCAAAATTATTTTCCAGACAAGATTGTATCTAGTACTAGTATAATCCTCACTGAGTATTATAGCTTTTCTTTTTTTTATATTTAAATTCAGGAAACATTTTAATTGTTATTCTAACCCACATGTTTCATGACTAAAAAGGTCAAACTTTTTTTTCTGTATTTTTTGGAAAAGCTTCTTATGCTTCCTCTTTGGTGAATTATCCATCCATGTCCTTTATTCACTATTTTCTACTGAGATAGTACTGTGTCTCTTTATAATTTGAAAGCAATTTTTAAAAATATTTAAAGAAGATTAGCCCTTTGTCTACAAATAATTCCCCAGTTTGTCAAATATTTAGAATTTATTTTCATAATAACTCTTGAGAAACAGGTTTTAGATTTTTAAGAAGTTAAAGCTACTGGTTTTGTTTTGTTTATTATTTTTGCTTTGTGATTTCTTCCATATATTCATCCTTAGAAACAATTTCTCCTTCCTGGAGCCTAAAAAATGCCCATTTATAGTTTATTCTAGTTTCATTACTAGAATAGTGTACTTTGATTTAGTTTGATTTTGTCTTAATTTTAAGCATAGCACTGAGTCATTTTGATTTCTCTTTGTTTTTCCCCAAGTACATAATCAATTGTTCCAGCATTATTTATTGAATACTCTTCTTTTTACATACTGATTTATGATGGAAATTTAACTGTATATTAAATTCTTGCATGTATGAAAGTCAGTTTCTAAATGTTTATATTGATCAATTCTTGCCCAAGATACATACCATCTTGATAGCTGAAAGTTTATTGTATGTTTTGCTATCTTGTAAGACAAATCTCTCTTTACTGCCCTTTCCAACTTACTTTATATTATCTTTTTGAAACTTTTTCACTATTCAAAACTATATATTTTTTAAAATGAGCTATGTTTTCACTTTGTCAAGTAAGAATAATCTTAATAAAATCTTTGAGTCACATTAAACCTTTAAATTATTTCAGAGGAATTAAATAATTTCTTTTATAATATTTAGCATTCCCATTCATAAACATGGTATATCTCTACATTTATGATGCTATTATATCTCCCCATATGTTTTCTAATTATTTTCATATAGATGACACACAGTTCTCTAAGTTGTTTTTCACAGAGTTATTTATAAATTTGCCTAATTATTTATGATGGCATTAATAAAATAATTTCACCATCATAATTTTGACTGAATTATTGATTTCACCAACAACTATTAATATTTTATATTTGTTCTTGCATCTGAACATTTTCCTATCTTCTTTTATTAGCTCTAATAATTTTTTAAAAAAATATCTTGGGACTTCTAGATCAGTAAATTAATGATTTGTAAAATATTTTTCTGCTTACTTTAATAGCTTTAGCTCTTTTATTGCATTGCACATTTACAAGGTAATGTTGAATAATGAAGACATTAAGGATAATTTTTTTGTCTCTGAATTTTAAGTGAAGTTTTTCTGATATTTCAATTTTCAGAATGTTGCCTCTACATTTTGATATTCATCCTAATGTTAAGGAAATTTCCTTTCTTGCTTATTTTTTCAGACTTTTCCCAGGAATGGATATTAAATTTTATGAGATGATTTTAGAGCATCTGCCGGATGATTATGTTGTTTTTTTCTTTGACCTATTACTGATGGACAATATTAATAAATGTGCTACTAATAAGTGAATATTATATTCCAAGAATAAAATCTGCACAATATAGTCTAAACATTATCTTGTAATATACTACTGTATGATTTTCATTGGTTTAGTAAAGACTTTTATATCTATCTCTAAAATGTCATTCTGGGAATTATAACTTGGACATCAAGTTCCTTACACTCTGGTTGCCCTTTATTGGTTATCCTTCTTTTTTCTTTTTAATGGGCCAATCAAGCACACTATGTAACTAAGATGAAAGCTCTTTAAGAGCACAGGTCTTTGTTTTATTTGCTGATTTATTTACTAAGATCCTAGAAGTATGCCTGATACATTATTCGTATTCAATAAATACTTTTTGATTGGTTAATGAATTCTCTCTTATATTGATATTTATGTTCTTTAATAATTTTATACTCTGAATTATATATTTTTTATTCTTTGTGTCTTTATCTGGTTAGCTGAAATAAGACATAGGAGTGCATATACAAAAATTTTCTTCCATCTGAATATGAGGGTGGTATACCGGCTGAACCATTGAATATCTGAGAATTTATTTCCGTTGCCATCAGGTGTGGAAAAACAGCTGAAGACAAAATTCTTCCCATAAGCTTTTCCCATCAAAACTGTGATATATTGTTCCATTATTTTCTAGTACTTGGCATTGCTGAAGAGTATTTTGAAGCTGGCCTTTGTTTCTTTGTTCATGATCTTTCTTTTTCTTTAATGCCAGGATGCTTTATTCTTAAATTTTGACGACAATGACAAAAAATAATACATTTTATTGTTTAAAATATACAGATATGTGTACTATATAAAGCAGAAATCTGTCTCACTACATAGTTCTTCTATGACCCCGCCTATAGGGCTTCTTCTAAATAAACTCACTTCTCAGATGGAATTACTCTAACAGTTGGTTGTGTCTCGCTTCTAAGTTTGTTTCCTTATATTTCTATAAATAGTGGAGTTTCTTCTTTCTAAATAAGATCATACTCTTATAACTGAGTGCCTGAAAAAAGAGAGCCTTAAAAATGTTTAGAAAGAGAAGCTTCCAAATGTGCCTTTGTCTAGATGGACAAAGAAATTCACATTGAAGCACATTCTCTTAACCAACACTTGAATGGTCCTACTTGATTATGTAAATATTAGGTGAGTAGGCACCCATCACTCTGAAGAAAAGGCATGGCAGGGACTGTGTGTCTTTGCCAAGGTTGCCTTTTCTCATTGTCCCTAAGTATGTAGGCATATCTGGTCTTTGAGTAGAAAGTGGAAAAGGTTTACACTGAAGCCATGCTCAGAAAACAGACGGATGGTCCCAGGCAGTGAGAAATTTCTAATTGTGGGGAAGGACAAGTACATTTCAAGGAATAGTGATATCTTCTATTAAATTTGAGGGTGTTTCCTTTATTGACTATAATTACTTCCTATCATCTCCAAGCCTTCGGGGGAAATCTGTTAACTAAAATGACCTAGTGTTATTTGTGAAAGTCCCACAAAGGAAGAGGAAAAGAGTCCACAGCAAGAGGTAACATAGAACCAGAAGCAAAGAAAACCTATCAGGAGCAGGTTACAGGGGTGAAGCAGGATTCAGGAGAAACTCATAGGAACGTAAGCCCTCCCTGGAAATCTAAAGTACTACACCAGTGGTAGAGGTAGGTGTGCTCCACACAGTGTGCGGTGTGGCTGCTTGAACCATCTTATTTGCATATTATGCAAAGGATAAGACTTGAAAGAGGGGGAGTTTGGGGAGTACTAGATTATAAATGCTTGAATATCAATAATCCCCACAGTTGGGATGACTGTTCTAACTGGATGTGGTGGGCAGCCTCTAAGATGGCACCCAAAGAGCCCCACTTCCAGATATCCATGCCTTCGTGTAAACACTTCCCCTTGGTTATGGGCTAGATTTAATGATTCAATTTTAGCAAATAGAATACAGCAGAGGTGATGGGATGTCACTTCCAAGATTAGATTACAAAAATACTATGGATGCCATCTCTCTTGACATCTGGGGCATTCTCTTACTTGCTCGGACATAGGAAAGCCAGGTGCCATGTTGCGAGCTTCCCAGTGTAGAGGCCCACTTGACTTGGAACTGGAAAAGGTCTCCAATGGCCTGCTAGAGAAGGTCTCCATCCAATAGCCTGCTAGAGAAGCTCTCCAGCCAATGGCCCAATTCAACAGCCTGTGAGGAATGGAAACATCCAAGCAATCACATAAATGAGCTTGGAAGGGAAATTCTCCCCTAGACAAGCCTTCAGATGAGACCACAGCCCTGGCTTATAGCTCATCTACAACTTCCTAAGAAACTTTGAACCAAAAGTACCCAGCTAAGCCACACTTGGATTCCTGATCTACAGACACTGTGAGAAAATAAATATTTGTTATTTTAAGTTGATAAGTTTTGGGATAATTTCTTATGCAACAGTAGATAATTGATTCAATGGGAAAAATAATCAAGTATATGTTGCAGATAATTGACAACTTTGGGCAAAGACTATGTTTGGGATTCTAAATGGAATAAAACATTTAATAGAGTCAGAGTGTAAGAAATACAATGATATATGTTCAAGGATGCATCACAGTATAAAGCAACATGCCACAGGATACTATAGCAAAACATTCATTTTCATGATTTCACTTATTTCTTAAGGTACATATGCAATATGTCTTAGAAGAGACAACACAGAAGCTCAGCAGAGCCTCACTAGAAAACTCTGACTTGCCTTCCCTCACTTCCCAATGACCTAACATGAAAACGCAAAAAGTTACATAGGAATATTGGTTAAAAAGTCTGGTAGATTTCTTTTTTTTTTTTTTTTTTTTTTAACTCATTTTTATCAAAATTTGTGCAGTTGTAAAAATTTTTTTTTTTTTATTATACTCTAAGTTTTAGGGTACATGTGCACATTGTGCAGGTTAGTTACATATGTATACATGTGCCATGCTGGTGCGCTGCACCCACTAACGTGTCATCTAACATTAGGTATATCTCCCAATGCTATCCCTCCCCCGACCCCACCACAGTCCCCAGAGTGTGATATTCCCCTTCCTGTGTCCATGTGATCTCATTGTTCAATTCCCACCTATGCGTGAGAATATGCGGTGTTTGGTTTTTTGTTCTTGCGATAGTTTACTGAGAGTGATGGTTTCCAATTTCATCCATGTCCCTACAAAGGACATGAACTCATCATTTTTTATGGCTGCATAGTATTCCATGGTGTATATGTGCCACATTTTCTTAATCCAGTCTATCATTGTTGGACATTTGGGTTGGTTCCAAGTCTTTGCTATTGTGAATAGTGCCGCAATAAACATACGTGTGCATGTGTCTTTATAGCAGCATGATTTATAGTCCTTTGGGTATATACCCAGTAATGGGATGGCTGGGTCAAATGGTATTTCTAGTTCTAGATCCCTGAGGAATCGCCACACTGACTTCCACAATGGTTGAACTAGTTTACAGTCCCACCAACAGTGTAAAAGTGTTCCTATTTCTCCACATCCTCTCCAGCACCTGTTGTTTCCTGACTTTTTAATGATTGCCATTCTAACTGGTGTGAGATGATATCTCATAGTGGTTTTGATTTGCATTTCTCTGATGGCCAGTGATGATGAGCATTTCTTCATGTGTTTTTTGGCTGCATAAATGTCTTCTTTGTCACCACCAGGCCTGCCCTAAAAGAGCTCCTGAAGGTAGATTTCAAGTAAAATCACTAACAAAGGATGCTACGCGGTCCAGGGCTTTCACCTACCAGAGGATACAGAGGAGTCACTCTCCCCTCCAACCACACAAAACAGACTACAGAGGTCTTTTTATGTATGCTTTTAAGGAATTCCATTCCTGGGATTCAACATAGCTGAGGCATATATGGACAGATGGTGGAGCATTGTATCCAGAGATATCAAGATGAGAGGATAAAAGAAGAGAAATCGTTGAAGTTTCCTTGCTCTTATTAGTACATTTAAAAAAATCATAGTCCATGGGCTGTTACAACAAGTTCTCAATGTTTTCCATTTTTATATTTGCCTTGTTATAATCCTTAAAATTAATTAATCTTAAAATACATAATTGCCAAAGTTTTGTTCTATTTAAAACTGTGATTTTATTTAATATTGACATTACAAGTCCATTTCTGGAATCTGCCTGCCACAGAGGTTTGGTCCATCAGATAGTGTGGTTTCACAGTTAATAGAGTCTCTAGGCAGACTGCCTGGGTTTGAAACCTGGCTCTCCTAATTATTGGCTGTTTCACCTTGGGTAAGTGCTTCCATGCTTCAGTTTCCTTACTGGTAAGATGGATGTAGTAATAGCACCTACCTTATAGAATTATTTTGAGGAATCAATGAGTTATTATTTGTAAAGTGCTTAGAACAGCAACAGCTCCACAAATGGTCTCCTTCCCACTAATTCTGTAATAAAACAGCAAGTGCTGGGGGAAGGTGGGGGTGATGGGGGGCAAGAAAAGGAACCTGAAGCTTCTCCAGTGCATAGAAGTTTCTTTTGCCTCAGGAGTCATCCTGACCCAGAAACGGTGTTAGTGGTGTAACATTGGGCTACTTTGTGTTCGCTGGAAATCCCAGACTAATATTAATATTCATGGGATAGTCTCTGGAAGCCTAGACTTGGACCCACTTATACCTTAGTGCTTAAATTGTACAGACACTCAGACAGGTATGAATTAAACTTGGGTGGGGGGCAGCTTATTCGGCCATCAATTTTTATTTTATAGTTCTATGTGTGTGTGTGTTTTGAAAAACAAATGGTTCATTTTCTTGCTCCTGTGGGAGCAAAGCAAGTCATAAACTTAAAGCAAGTGTCTGCAAAAAACTTTCCAGGCACCAGTCTTTCTGACAGACAGAACATCATCTATTCAGTAGAAAAAGTCAAACTTGCTTGCTATCTTTTAATACTCAAAAACAAAAACAAAAACAAAACCCAACAACACTGAGACTGGTAGCTTTTCCATGGTTATCTCCATCTAAACCTTCATGAATAGATTCCTTCCTCCAGGAATAAGGAATGAAGACCTAGGACTGACAAGCAAGAAACATGAGCTCCATCCATGTTTGTTCTCTGGCGTAAACTCTGTAACTTGGAGGAAGGCTTTTGGTTTCTGAGGTTGGGCTGGGAATTCTGCAGGGCATAGACAACTTGCTCTCAATGGAGAAAACACACAAGCACACACTCAGAGAGACTCAGACAACTTGCATGCATACACACACAAAATTCTCACATGTAGACACACCTTCAAGATACACATTTACATTAATGTTCACAGGTCTAAGGTGTTAAGACTCAGGGAGGATCATGGAGGGGTGAGGGGCTTAGATCAGTTCAGAAGAGGAAACTTTTCAGATAGATTTCTGTCAAAGTAAAATTGAGGTGCAGAGCCCTCTTCGAGCCCTTCATCAAGATTCACAAAAATAAGGCATTAGGCTAGAAATAGCTCTCTGCAGGCATTTATATATACCTTTAAACTCCATTGTTTGAAGCCTATCAATTTGGAGTGCTGAATTCTACTAGATTCTAAGATATTAGAGTAAGATAGAAAGATGAATTTTAGTCAACCAATCAATGTGCACTCAATGGATGCCTACTACAGTCACAGGCAGTGCCCTCTGGGCCCTGGGATAGAGAGATGATTGAGATATTATCCCTACCCGATGATAGTCTAGTAGGGAAGATGAGACTAATACATATGAAACCAGCTAATCTAACTTCAACGTTAGACTATTAGAGCCCAAAAAGTGTCCTGCCTTGTCAAACATGCTATTTTGCCATTGAAATACTGCTATCCAGACATAGTAAGTAAATTTCTTATGGCCACATGATCAAATAATAGACCAGTTCTTCTAGAGAGAATTACTCTCTCCATCCCTTTGCATTGTTTTATAATTTTATAAAAAACTTTTACATGGCTCTGTGCTTTAACTAGGCATCTGCCTGTCTGTCCTTCCTTCAGGGATGTGATGCCCCACAGGTAAGAACCTGACCTTATACATTTAAGGAGCGCACAGTGACTGATAAGGCCATATTTAGCCAGGAGGTGCTCAACTCATCAGCCTTAAGTGATCGGAAAGGATCAAAGACAACAGTCCAGGGAATTCCTCTTGGCCAAGGTCGCCATTCATTACACCAGATAGCACAGGTAGTAAAGACCTAAATCTTGGATACAAATTCGAGGTAAGATATTTTAAACTTGGCGTAAAATTATAGACCTGTTTCTAAGCCCTTCTGTCTTCTTCTCCATTTTAAACTCAGTTGCTTTATAATTTTACATAAAAGGGTAATGCATTTTCATTTCAGCCAGCAGGAAAAGGTTAGGCTCCTCAGGTGCTTTTGAATCTTCATGTTTGCAGACAAAATCATTGAAAGGTTTTGATATATTTCTCCTAAGGGTTTTTCTTGAAATTACACCAGGTCACTCAATCATCAGACAAGCATTTTTAAAAACAAAACAAAACAAAACTGCTCTTTGTCAAATACTGGGCAAGTTGTTGTCTACAAACTTGCTTGGCTGAATTACTGAGCAACTACTTTATGCCCAGAGAAAAGAAAAGAGCAGCATGGTTCTTACATGTTTGCTAAGCTCTTGACCCATGCTCTCATGAGTACCCTATCCCATCTGGATCTGAGTGTTGCCCTTCACTATCCACCTTCTTTCATTTAACAGTTATTCACTGGACACCTCCTATGTGTCAGGCACTGTCTTAGATGCTGGATTCTTGGTGATGAACATGGCAGACAAGGTCCCTAGCCTCAGGGAGTGAACATACTAGTTGTCAGAGGGAATGGGGGATGGGAGTAAGCAAAAACAAAAACAAAAACAAATAAACAAAAAAAACCAATAAGCAAACAGATACTCAGAACCCTGAACTGTTTCTGACATATAGCAGGTGTTCAATAAATATTTGTGATTTAATGGAATGAGCAAGATAGTTTCTGATAGTGATAAGGGATATGAAGGATATTGATGTGAAATAGAGCATTTAGACAGGGTCAACATGGAAGGCTCTGTGAAAAGGTGATGTATAGGCCAATATGCAAAGGAAAGGAAGGAGCCTGCAGAAAAGGTGTCCCTAAAGTTGAGGAAGAAGCAAGTGAAACATCAGGGAGTTAGTAACAAACTGATTGCATTTGAGGACAGAGAGAGAACAATGTGACTGAGACAAACTGAGCAAGAGGGAGAGTAGCACAAACTGATGTCAGAAAGGTAGAGGGAGCTCAGCTATGCTGGCACTATGGATCAAACAAAGGAGTTTGGGCTTAATTTCCAGTGTTATTGGAAGCATTTGGGGTTGAAGCAGTAAGTCAATGTGATTAAACTCATGAATTGAAAGATCGCCATGGCTGCTCTGAGGGGAAAGAATTGGTAGGAGGCAATATTGGAAGAAGGAAGTGCGTCAGTTAGGATGTTTTAGCACATCAACAGGTTATAGGTGTGAAAGATATTGTTCCCCTCTGCCCTTGGTGTAACCAGGAGAGAATGAGTTTGGCCAAAGCTGTGGGGCGGTTCTGGCCATAGGAGGATTCATCCTTTAACCAGAGAATGCTGAAAAATTAGCACCATCTTCCGTGTCTGTCACAATGTAAAAAATATTGGAAAGCCCTGCTTCAATACATATTTTTCATGCTTTCTGGCCATCGGGCTTCTTTAATACACTCTTTCTATGTTTGGAGAAATTTCCCACTTGAAAACCAGCCTCCAAGATAACTGCTAGTGATCCCCACGTCCTAGCATTTGCTCCCTTGAGTGGTTCCCTCCCACACAGCACCAGGGTTAGTGTGTGTAACCAATAGAACACAGCAGAAGTGATGGCATATCACTTCTAAGATTAGGTTATAAAAGACAGTGGCTTATGTCTTGAGCTTCCTCTCTTGCTTTTTTCTTTTTTTCTCTCTCTCATCACTCACTCTGGAATAGTCAGCTATTTCTTAAGAATACCCCAGTATCCTTGTGGAGAGGGCTGCATGATGAGAAACTGAGACTTCCAGCCAGTAGCCAAGCAGTAGGCATTATTGAAAGCAGCCCCAGTCAAGACTTCAGATGATGCAGCTCTGGCCAGCAAGTTGACTAGAATCTCATGGCAGACCCTGAACCAGAACCACCCACCTAAACTGCTTCTGGATTTCTGACACTTAGATATTGTGAAATGATAAATGTGTGCTGTTTTAAGTTGTTCATTGTGGGGGTAATTTGTTACATAATAATAGATGATGAGTGCATCCCCTTTGTGAACCCTGCTACCACACTCAGCCTCTCTTGCAGTCCTGAGCTTTGTCAACATGATCCTCCTGCCTGAGACTTCAATTTGGGAAAGAATGATATGAAGAAGCCAGTAATGCAGAGAACAAATGCTGGCGAAGGTGGTGGAGGGAGATTTAGCTTTCAAAGGAGGCAGAGGTAAAGTTGCTAGTGGGGAATCTTGTGCCCATCTCTGTCCCTGTGGATGGCTGTGCCTGCACCCAGAAGTGGTGGGAGTGGTAGAGTCAGCATTGGAGCTGTCTGCTGACAGAACATGGATATTGTTTCTGGCTACCTGACACCCAAGCCTGATTTACTCCAGGATATTCTTTCATACATTTTGTTTAAACTATCTAGTGAGCTCTCTTATTGGCAACTAGGAACCCAGACTGACATAAAAACCTTTGAAGGCAAGTAACAGAAAACACTGCCTCAAAGTAGCTTAAATAATATGGAATGAAGTAGCTCCCCTAACAGGAAGTGCAGAAGAAGGGGACTGCAGGGGTGAACCGCCAAGATTCTGGCTCCACTGTTCTAGAGCACTCAAGCCTGGGTCTTTCCCTGGGTGTTTCATCATCCTTTCTGGCTGGTGGCAGTTTGACTACAGCAGTCTTTTTGTAACAGTGAGGCACCTTATTCAGTAGCCCTCTATAGACTTTCCTTCATGTCTCATTAGCCCTAATTATGTCAGATGCTCCATCCCAAACCTAACACTGGAAAGAAGAATGGTTTTACCACAACTGCCTTGGACTAATTAGTTTTGACCTCCAGGATCCGGGAAAAAAGTCATACTCCCTCAAAGCACCTGGAAGAAGGTGGCTACATTAAAAAATATAGGGCTTTTCTGTAGACTAATAGATACTGAGTAAGCAACCAATACAGTCTGCTTTAGACAGTTATTACAGGGTCCAGGCAGAGGGTGATGGTGGTTCGTATTAGGGTAATGGAGTAGGGGCGGAGAGAAGGACACACCTAAAAGCAACAAGATTTGCTGGTGGATTGGATTAGGAGGGAGAAGGGAAAAAACAAGACAGAAGGAATGATGCATTAGTTTAGACCTGAGCAATTAAATCAATAATTTACTTAGATAAGAAATGTTGGGTAGAAACAGGTTGAGATGAAGGTGAAGTTACACATTTGAATAGTTGCACATAGACAGATTAATACATGAATTTGAAGCTAAGAGGGAGATCATGGCTGATTATATGAACTGGAGAGTCATCAGCATATAGAAGGAATTTAAAACCACGGAACTGAGTGAAATCCTTACGGACAAGGGTAGCAAGGGAGGAATGCAGGTCTGAGAACAAAGCTCTGTGGCATGCCGACAGTTAGAGGTCAGGTAGAAGAGGGGAAGCCAGTGAAAGACAAAGAAAGAGAGTAGTCCGTGAGAAAAGAAGAAAACCAAGGCACATCTCAGAGGTCCAAGTGGTGAGCTGTTGTCCAGCCTCCCGAGTCCCAATTCCTCCCTACCCTCATCTCACCCCATTCCATTCCTGGCTGTCTATATTTGAAGGTAATGACCAGATTCCACATTTTAACTTGCGTCTGTGTTTGAAGTTTCATATAGCAGATTAAGTGAGTTTCACTGTCAATTGAGCCTAACCACCGCTAGATACTGAAGAAAAATAGGGACAGAATTGAAACAAAAACAAAAACAAAAAACTCCAATCCTTTATAAAACCTGTCTACTGTTTTTTTCTTGAATAATATATGCAAGACATTTTCCTCATAAATGTCATAGTAAATGGCTGAAAACCAGCCTCCACAAACAAGCTTTGAATACGTCTTCTAGCATTCCTAAAATTTTAAAACATGAAGTGAATACCGTCTCTTACTATTTGATTCAAGTAGTATCCTTAAAGAAATTCACAAATAACATTATATTGCTTTAAACGAACTACTACTTCAAATAGGACAAATGATATATAATGAGCTTTTTTATATCTTAAAAATTAAGATGTACTTTTGTTTTAATCAATGGAGGTTAAAGTTATAGTTTAAAAGGTATACCTCTTCTAATTAAGATATACCTCTTCTTCTAATTAAACCCTCCAAGTCAGGCAGCCATCTACAGTGCATTAAAGTTCAGATTTTGCATAAAAACTCATTATCTAAACTTGATGGGTTTTCCTTCCTTTCAATACACCACACCCTCAGAAGGGGTCTAAACCAACAAGACCCTTTAAGAAATGCAAAATAAGACCTCACCTTGGCTCACTGCTGTTCACTGACAAACCTGAGGAATTCTAATTCTACTTGGAAAGAAATAGTCTTCTATGGGGAATAAAACATTTTAAAAGAAAAAAACTATATTTTTTGTTATATCCACATGCATCTTGAGACACTGTTTTATATTGCAACAGATAGAGTCCATTACTTCCTCTACTGGCCAAGCCTAGAAAAAGAGTTACTCTATTCCCAACAAGAAGGAAGAGGTGTTATTTAAAACACACACACACACACACACACACACACACGCACACACTCACCCCCCCCACACACAGCACATATCTTAGAGATCTATATGAAAAGGAGTGAAAAATGATAACAGAGAAACTTACTGAGGTACTACCCAGATGGAAGGAGAGAAAAAATATTTGTGTGGTAATAAACAGCAATTATTTTGCAGTTATTGAATAGAAAGAAAATGTATGTTCAGTTATTAGAAAATTTCCATGCAAAATATGAACTTTGGTGAGTTGCAGATAGAGAAATTGAAGTCTCTGTGTTGAAGGAAGGTAACTCTAATGCACATGGATATGAGAAGCTGAAGTGCAGAAGAGAAGTAGCTAAGGACCAGGAAAAAGCCAGTTGGAAGGATTCAGACCACAGTGGAATTGCCGATTGATTAATTAGGATCATGGATTGATTGATTAGTCAAGTGGGACTGGATTAGAAGAATAACAACAGCACAGAGTGTTTTGCTTATAGTCTGTAGTAAATCACCTGGGCTTTAATCAATTCTTTAGTAAGCTGTGTATAATTCATTTCGATGTGTGGATTTGGTTTTCCTGCATTTGTCCAGGGGGATCGTAAGAGTCTGAAAGACTGTATATCAAATTTGAAAAATCCTGCCAGATAATTCTAATAGGAGACTGATGAGGAGACATATTGTATGGTGGTTACATTTCAGTCTCTGGAGTCTCCCAAACATGGGTTCCCATTTCTATTCCATTGGCTACTAGCTATGTGACTTTGGGCAGGTGAATTAGACTTCAGAGTTTCAATGTTTCCTTCTATAAAGTCCAGATGCTAATTACAATAACTATTTCAAATGCTTATGGAAATGATTAAATTAAAAACACATAAAGCACAGCACACAGTATGTGATGCAGAGCAACTGCTTAATAAATGTCTGCTGTAAATGGATGCATAGGCCAGTCTGGAAAGACCACATGGGGCTCTAATGTGCGTTGGTCAGACCCTGCCCATCCTCAGAAGTAGAAAACAAAATGAAGGCATAGATCTGACTGCAGAGTTGGTGAAGGCATAAGGCCAGTGCTGCCCTTATTGGCTATTTGGGACTATTCAGCTTCATGATGTGAGCTCTGTGCTTTTCCCTGGACCCATCTGGGGTGGTTAAGAGCAGGGCTCAGGAGTCATACTGCCCATCTCTCCAGCTGATCAGCTGTGTGAATTTGGGCAGGATACCTAGTTTCTGTGCTTACATTTCTTCAGTAGAAAAGTGGTGATAATTAAGAACACCACCCTCTGCATAGGGTTGTTATAGAGATTATATGAGCTAATATATTTAGGGCATTTTTGTTGTGTCTGGCACATAGCATGAGTTCAAAAAACAGTAAAAATAATTTTAATATAACACTGATAATTTTAACTTTGAAATAGACCTCTAGGATTCTAAATTCCACTTTGTTTCCCAATAAGAGCTTTGCAGAATGAATTTATGGAGAGAATGAGAAAGAATAAAGTTAGGAGTAGGTAGATTAGAGGTGGGAAAAAAAGGTCAAGAAAATTTGTAATGGAGATAATTGAAAGTATAACCAGGCTGGGTGAGGTGGCTTACACCTGTAATCCCAGCACTTTGGAGGCTAAGGCGTGAGAATCACCTGAGGTCAGGAGTTCAAGAGCACCCTGACCAACATGGTGAAACCCTGTCTCTGCTAATAATACAAAAATTAGCTAGGCATGATGGTGGGTGCCTGTAATCCCAGCTCCTCGGCAGGCTGAGGCGGGAGAATTGCTTGAACCCGGGAGGCGGAGGTTGCAGTGAGCTGAGATTGTACCATTGCACTCCAACCTGGGTGATGAGAGTGAAATTCTGTCTCAATAAATAAATAAATAAATAAATATAAAGTATTACCAATATGAACAGGATAACATTTCTGAAAGAACATTTCTGAAAAGTAGAGAACATAAAATATATATAGAGAAAAAATATTTGTGTGACAAGACAGCAATAATTTTGCAGTTACAATTAATGAATGAATGATATAAGCAGAGAAGGAAAGCTTAAATATGGAAATTAAGAACCAACATGAAAGTTGTATCAAATATCTTTGCATTTATTGTTCACTAAATAAACTTTTAATTAATTGATTGGTTTTTGATTAATGTGATTAAGCACTAAACTCGGCAGATAACCTGAAGCCTGGTTCTTTGCACAGAGTAGGGCTGAGACAAACGTATGGTTTTTCTATGGTCTCTGAATAAGGCCAGAGGCAATATAGTGGATCTCTCCCTCTTTCTCCCCCTTCTGCCTCCTCCTCCCCTTCTTACTTCCTTCCTCTCTTTCTGTGTACACAGAGATTTTTGTCAAAGCTTTGTTACTAAGTAAAGGATCAAGAAAGGGATTACTAAAACTCTTCTTTAAGTGCTCACTACCCATATTCTCACCCATAAAAGTGCACATTTACTTCCTTTTTTCCTAAGCAGGCAGCTGAGTGTCAGTCGACCTGCTCCAGATTCATTTTCATCACTGGGGATGGGGGAGGTTTGCTGTGGGCAATGAGGAAAGGGGTTGGTTCATTGGAATTCTTTTTTCTGGCATCTTTTTGGCTAGTTGGATAGTCTACAACCACTTGTGACACTCTCTAACCAATTTTGGATTTCATCATCCTCTTCTCTCTTTGGAGCATCCAGAGTGACTGCAGCAGTTGCCCAGACCTGCCCAGGATGAGAGTCGTCAGCCACTTTGAAAGACAGCTCTAGGGATGCAGAAAGCATTTTTTTTTTTTTAAATTCATCTGTTGGTGGAGGGTACTGAGGTCCAGGTTTTTCTCAGTCTCAGTTAAGCAGAAATCTGACCTCTGCTCTCCCTTCTGGCCTTGTTCTGAAACGATGAACAAATGTAAAACCACGAGAATCTACTAAGAGACGGCAGAGGAGTGCCAGGCCCTCCGACCTGGAACATGGCCCTCTGTTCCTTTCAGTATATTTCGTATATGGTGTATCTTTTTAAATTCTAAAGCCAACAAATCTCTATTTTCTTTAAAGTGAAAGAAATGGACTTACAACTTTATAATTGTCCATCATAAAACTGGAAAGAAATCCACACAGTCCAGGAGAGAGGAATACAGATTTTGAACATACCAGAACAACTGCTACTGGAATAATGGTGCAACGATAACACACACATGGGCAAAATAGAGCTGCTCAATTCCAAATTTGCTTTTATTTCATCTCTCAAGAAAATTCACTCGAAACAGGAAAGAATAAAGCTCACAGATTAAAGGCTATTGATGCCCAAGATGACAGTGATAGTCACAGAACATGAACTCTAAGTCAGTGCTAGTCTCTTGGTCCAGATAAATTATGTATACTTCAGGGTCTAAAGCAAATGTTAGAATGAATACCTTTTTTGGATAATTAGGAAGTTTTTGAGCATTTGATGGGAGTGCTAATCACTAGGAGGTAGCATGGGTTCACTGAGAACCAGTCATGCTAATCAAATCTTATTTTCTTTTGTTAAAGGCAACTATCTGGCAAGTAACTGAATAAAACAAAATGACAATTAATAGAAAGTTTTGCTGTTAAGAATCCCACACCATTTCCCAAAGTACGGAATCTAGCTCACAGGAACAGGGGTAAGGATGTGGTCTAAGAGCAGCATGAAAGATTTATGGGATTTCATCCATGGCATGTTGAGATGCTGTAACCCAAGCAGCAACTCAGAAGCCTGAGGCACAGAGAGAGCAGGAAGTTGATGCTAAAGGGTGAAGGAGTGCTGGGCTCAGCTCAGGAACTCTATTTCAGAAAGGATTTTGACCAATTGCAGCACACGTAGAAGACAGATAAGATGATGAGAGAACCTGAGCAATGTCACACAAAAAGTGGATAAAGATACCGGATATTTGTGTTCTGGACGTGACTTGGAGCAGCAGTGTGGCATGGAAAACACAGGCTCTGGAGCCAGACAAATTTGAATTTGAATGCTGGCTGTCTCCAATAAGCTGGAGAAGTTCCATGGAGAAGTTACTAAACTTCTCTGTTCTTGTTTCCTCATCTGTAAATGTAAAATGGAAACATAATGTGTGCCTTGCTGGGTGGCCAGGATTAAATGCAACAACATATATCAAGTGCATGATGGTATATAACAAATGCTTAATAATGATTAGTTATAATCATTAATGTATATCATTCAGGGACATTGTAGGTGACTTCAAAGATCTTTTTCCAAAGGCCTTTTTCTTTTCTTTTCTCTCTTTTTTTTTTGTTTTTGTTTTTGTTTTTTGAGTCAGGGTTCTATTCCGTCACCCACCAAAGGCTTTTTTCGTCAGCATATAAACTGGAGGTTCTCAAATTTCATTGTTCAGAAGCATTACCCAGTGTCTTATTCTGTTTGTACTGCTGTAACAGGATACCTGAGATTAGGTAATTTAAAAAGAAAAAACATTTATTGTCTTATAATTCTGGAGTCTGGGAAGTCTAAGATCAAGGCACTGGCATCTGGCAAGGGCCTTCTTACTGTATCATCACATCGTAGATGGTGGAAGGGCAAAGAGACAAAAGGGGGCCAAACTCACCCTTTTATAACAGCATAATTCTACCCATGCAAGTGGAGCCCTCATGGCCTAATCATCTCATCAACATTCTACCTTTTAATACTGTTAAAATGGCAATTAAATTTCAACATGTATTTTTGTCCAACCATAGCATCTGGGATGCTCTTTACGAAATAATTGTGTAGGTCTGAGTGAATCCGAGGAACCAGCATTTTCATAAGAAATCCAGGCAATTTCAGAAAAGAAGGCAAGTGAACCTTACTTTGGGAAACATTGATAAAAACATTCTGAAGTCGCTCCTATCTTCAAACAGCTTTTCTTCTATGCACTTTTTTTTTTCAGTTACCATCTTCTCTTTGTCCTTCTCTCAAAAGATTTACTTTTACTTCTACTTGGTAGGTCTAAACAGCAAAACTTCCTAACCAGGGCACCAGGGAAGCTTGATGTGCCACAGAATGGGTAATACCTGGGCTGAGACTTTGATTCCTTCTGCCACAGTCCCTGCTGGCCACCAGTGGCCTAGTCCCTTACCCCCATGTGCTGTAAAAAGTTCACTTTCTATCTATGCCACGACAAGTACAAGACTGAGAAGCACTGCCTTAGAGAGCAAGGATCATTGTTTATTTCTCTATATATTACCCAGGACCTGGAAGGCTTCCTGAGTCACAGGGGACTTCCTCTGTCATGCTTTCTGAATCATAGAAGAATACATATTTGTTCAATGAATGAAAGAACAAATAGTTGGGGAAAGGTAACATATTTCAGCTAACTCTACTTCTTCAATTTCCATGTACTTTTTAATCCTGTGTTCAGCTGGTTCCACCCTCACCACTCTACTATAATTGCAGAAGAACAGAGGCTTTGGAGCCACAAAGATGTGGATTCCAGTCCTGTTTCTATCATTTACCAGTTTTTTGCCTATTTCAGATGTCTACTGCTGCATTAAAAGGTTGCTCCCAAACTCTATGACTTAAAACAACCACCATTTTATTGCTCATGATTTTGTGGGTGAGAAATTTGGTAAATGGGGATGGTTCACCTCTGCTTCACTTATTGTCTGCTGTGCTCATTTGTGGGCTGGAAGGTCCAAGTTCGAGAGGTCCATGGCCTCACTCACATGTGTGAGGTCTTGGGCTGGCTGTTGACTGAGGCATCTATTTTAGTCTTCCAGGGCTACTGTAACAAAATAGCATATACTGGGTGGCTTAAACAATAGAAATTTATTTTCTCACAGTCAGAAGTCTGGGAAGTCCAAGCTCAAGGTTGCAGCCAATTCCATTTCTAGTGAGGGCTTTCTTCCTGGCTTGCAGAGAGCTGCCTTCTCACTGTGTCCTCACATGGCAGAGAGAAAGCAAACTCTTTGATGACTCTTTTTAAAAATTATTTTTTATTTCTATAGGTTATTGGGGAACAGGTGGTGTTTGGTTACATGATTAAATTCTTTAGAGATGATTTGTGAGATATTGGTGCATCCATCACCCAAGCACTATACGCTGCACCCTATTTGAAGTCTTTTATCTCCTGCCCCCTTCCCACCCTTTCCCCTGAGTCCCCAAAGTCCATTGTGTCATTCTTATGTCTTTGCATCCTCACAGCTTAGCTCTGCTTGTGAGTGAGAACATAAGATGTTTGGTTTTCCATTCCTGAGTTACTCCACTTAGAATAATAGCCTCCAGTCTCATCCAGGTCACTATGAATGCCGTTAATTCATTCCTTTTTATGGCTGAGTAGTATTCCATCATATATATATACATATATATATACACACACATATATATACACATATATACATATATACACACATATATACATATATATACACGTATACATGTATATACACATATATACACATATACATATATATGTGTATATATACGTATATATACATATATACGTGTATATATACGTGTATATATACGTGATATATATATATACATATGTATATATACGTATATATGTGTGTATATATATATATATATCACAGTTTCTTTATCCACTCATTGATTGATGGACATTTGGGTCGGTTCTGTGTTTTTGCAATTGTGAATTGTGCTGCTATATACATACATGTGCAAGTATCTTTTTCGTATAATGACCTCTTTTGCTCTGGGTAGATACCCAGTAGTGGGACAGCTGCATCAAATGGTAGTTCTACTTTTAGTTCTTTAAGGCATCTCCACACTGTTTTCCATAGTGGTTGTACCAGTTTACATTCCCATCAGCAATGTAGAATTGTTCCTTGTTCACTGCATCCACACCAACATCTACTGTTTTTTGATTTTTTGATTATGGTCATTCTTGCAGGAGTAAGGTGGTATCGCATTGTGCTTTTGATTTCAATTTCCCTGTTCATTAGTATGTTGACCATTTTTTCATGTTTGTTGGCCATTTGTATATCTTCTTTTGAGAATTGTCTATCCATGTCCTTATCCCACTTTTTGATGGGATTGTTTGTTTTTTTCGTGTTGATTTGTTTGAGTTCGTTGTAGATTCTGGATATTAGTCCTTTGTCAGATGTATAGATTGTGAAGATTTTTCTCCCACTCTGTGAGTTGTCTGTTTACTCTGCTGTTTTTTTTTTCCTGTGCAAAAGCTCTTTAGTTTAATTAAGTCCCAGAAATGTATCTATCTTTGTTTTTATTGCATTTGTTTTTGGGTTCTTGGTCACGAAATCCTTGCCTAAGCCAATGTCTAGAAGAGTTTTTACAATGTTATCTTCCAGAATTTTTATAGTTTCAGCTCTTAGATTTAAGTCCTTAATCCATCTTGAGTTGATTTTTGTATAAGGTGAGAGATGAGGATCCAGTTTCATTCTCCTACATGTGGCTAGCCAATTATTGCAGCACCATTTGTTGAAAAGGGTGTCCTTTCCAAATAAAATACTTAGGAATATACCTAAACAAGGAGGTGAAAGACCTCTACAAGGAAGACTGCAAAACACTGCTGAAAGAGATCAGAGATGACACAAACAAATGGAAACATGTCCCATGCTCACAGATGGATAGAATTAATATTGTGAAAATGACTATACTGCCAAAAGCAATCTACAAATTCAACACAATTCCCATCAAAATACCACCATCATTCTTCATAAAATTACAAAAAACAATTCTAAAATTCATATGGAACCAAAAAAGAGCCCACATAGCCAAAGCAAGACTAAGCAAAAAGAGCAAATCTGGAGGCATCACATTACCTGATTTCAAACTATACTATAAGACCATAGTCACCAAAACAGCATGGTAGTTGTATAAAAATAGGTATACAGACCAATGGAACAGAATAGAGAACCCAGAAATAAACCCAAATACTTACAGCCAGCTGGTTTGATGATTCTTATAAGGAAACTAATCCTATTGGATCAGGGCTCTACCTTTATGACCTCATTTACTCTTAATTAAGTCCTATCTCCAAATACAGTGACATCGGGAATTAGGGCTTCAACATAAGAATTTACAGTTCACTCTATAGCAGTATCTCACTTCCCTTCTGTATGATATTCTTTCTCCACATTGTTTCTCATTCTTCTGGACCCCTCTCCAGCAAGATATCCTGTAAAAGTTGCAAGATCTTTTCAAGTCTAGACTCAGCTCAGAATTTCACTTCTACACATTCTGTTGAATAAAGTGAGTCACAAGGCAGGCCCAAATTCAAGCAGAGGGGAACAGACTTGACTTCTTGATGGGAAGAGTGGTAAAATCACACTCCAAAAGGACACATGGAATTGGAGGGATAGCTATGGCTGTCTTTGGAAACAGTCTACCAATTTGTCCTTGAACAAATTGTTTAACCACCTGATTTTACTTTCTTTGCCTGTAAAATAGGAAATATAGCATCAACCACTTTGGGATGTTGTAAGTAATAGATTAAGAAAGTGTGTTTAGCACCTCGTACATTGTAGTAGAAACATAACAGAAACAGCAAAAACACATATTGGTTGAGCCCATACTATGTGGCAGCACTATTACAAGCACTTAAATATATTGCTTTATGTAATCTTTGTAACAGCCCAAAGATACACGTTATCTTTGAGATAAGATGAGAAACCCTAGGCACAAAAATGTTAACTTGCACAAGGTTGGTTGCATAGTAACTAGTCTGTCTAAATCTTGAATGTCTTACTGTCTACTTTATCCAAAGGACACTTTTTAGTTTTTTCTCTTTAAACTATATTTGAAAGTTTACAGTTGATGTTGCTCGCTCCTCTACCAAACACTCCTCCTCCCGTGATCCCTATGACTCCCCTCTGTACAATCTTTCCTCCTGTTCTCATTGCTACCTTCCAATCTCCTCTTTCATTTCTTCAACTCTTCTTTCTTGAAGGAACCATCCCATGTGGCAACTCAGTTTCTACCTTTCCAATGATGATTGCCAGTCTTCACTCTCTCCTAAACTCTAGGCTTGCATTTCTAAGTGTTATTAGGGTGTGAGCACATATGACCCAGGTAACGTTTTGAAACGTTTGTGCCTTTCACTTCTTTCTTATTCCATTGGTTGCAATCTTGTCACTTAATACTTGAAATGTTTTTCAAATTTGGATGTTTCTAGCAATCAGCTAATGCCTTTGGCCTGGTTTAGGCCTTCATCATCTCTTGCCTGGTTTATCAAAGTCATTTTTTAACTGAACTTGTTGCTTTCAGTTCCTCTCTGACATGATGGCATTAGGGTAATATTTCCATGTGCTTCAACACACATACCTTCTCACCATTACTATATGTCCCCCCCGCCACCCCCCCCCAGCATCACACTATCTCTGGTGTCACCTTCTCTGTTCATGGCCTTTTTCTTCTTCTCTAGGGGTTCCCCCCTTTGAAGAAACAGCATCTGCTCAACCTCCCCTACAGGCTCCCTTAAAGCTGGTTTCTCCTCCCTCTGTTTGTCTCTTTGCAACTCTCTGGAGGCATCTTTACCTTTACAACTTTGCATTTTCTCTGCTATTCCCATGTAAGTTCCCTGAAACCCTAGTACCATTCACAGCAGGATTTCAAAGGTTGCCTGTTGCGTGAGCATTCTATAGGATCCCAAATTATCTTTCTGTGCAAATATGAATTGTTGTGATATGTCCGTAGAGACGGCACAACCTCATGGCTAAGAATGATAGTTACCAGTTCTAGAGATCCTACTCTAATTGCTCTAGAGTGGGGGCCTGAACACCAGTATTACAAAAAAGACAAAAGAAAAAGAAGGAAAAAAGAAAAAAGAAAGAGAGAAAATCAAAGCTACCTTCATCATGTATGAATTTGAGCAAGTAACACCTTTGTGAGTCCCCAGGCCCCAGTTTCTCATTGGTAAAATGAGGATAACAATTACACAGACCTTGTTGGGCTATGTACAGAATTAAATGAGATTATGTACCTAAAAGGCTTGTGGCACAGTGACACACACACACACACACACACACACACACACACCCAGAGTACTTCGTGGTTATTTCTAGGCTTTACTGCTTGAAAGGCTGAAAAGATGGGTGGATGAGAGGTGCCCTGAGGTTCCTTCCAACTCTCCAAGATTCTGTGATACTCCTCCTTGGGTGCTGAAGACACTTTGGCAATGTTTGGATTTCCAAACGGTTGCTTAGAAAACTAAGGGACCCACGAAGCCCAGGTAAGCCTCAGGGTCTTTCCCAGGAATCGTTTATTTATTTGATCTTAGTTCTGACCTAGAGCCTCCACCTTCTCCATCCAAATCACCACAGTGGTCGAAAAGGGCCTGTGCTTGGGAAATCCTTCCTTTGTTGGCGAATCTTGGACCCAAACCCTGCATTTGGGCATCTGACACCCATAGGCCCATGGTTCAAACCCAGGCGGCTCTTTCCAAGTTCGAAGCAGGGACTCGGTTCTGCGCATCTGGCGGGTGTGCCCAGATTGTAACCTTCGCACTAGGCATCCAAGAACGTGCTTTGGACACACTCGGCGGTGGGAGCGGGTGCTTGGTTTGCATCAGGGATGAGGGGTGGAGTAGCGAAAGCGCCCGGAGCGCGCACTCACTCACACTCCCCAAGCCAGGGCGCGGCCGCTCTGGGCGCGAGGTCCCAAGCCAAGTCTCGCGCTCGGCCAGGAGCCGGGGAGTACCCCAGGTCCCCGGTCTGGGGCCGCCGCTATCCTACCCTGCGGCGCGCACTCCTGACCTGGCCCCGCCCCCCGGCGGCCGCGAGTAGCGGGCGGAGCGCAAGCAGAGAGGCGCTCTGGGCTGTGCGGCACCGCCTCTCCTCGGTGTCTGGGGAGGGACGGAGGGACCGGGCGGGAGAGAGAGAAAGCCTGACCGACCGGCTGGCGAAGAGCTGCATGCAACCGGTGGGAGGCCGGGCCGGCTGGGTCTGGGGCTCGGGCTCAGGCTCGCACCGTTTCTCGGCAGGTCCCTGGCGGTGAGCGCGGACGGCCCGGAGGCGGCGGCTCTGAGCTGGCAGGCGGAGGGCTGTCTCCTGCGCCCGCCTGCCCGGCGCGGTCCGAGGATGCGGGGGGGCGATGCCCGGGGCCAGGGACGCGCTCTGTCACCAGGCGCTGCAGCTGCTGGCCGAGCTCTGTGCCCGTGGGGCCCTGGAGCACGACAGCTGCCAGGATTTCATTTACCACCTGCGGGACCGTGCCAGACCCCGGCTCCGCGACCCAGGTGAGTGCCGCCACCGCCGCCTGGAGGGACCTAAGGGCCCTGGGCTGGGACTTGGGGCCGCACCGGGGCCTGAGGCAGAACAGCGACGCGGACTGGGAGAGGGCGGGGGGCGGCCACCGAGCCAGGAGAGTGATCAAGAACCAGCGCACTGTGGCCTGATGCTGTAACCAGGCGGGGACCCGGGCGGTGGCTACTGCACGGAGGCCGACTCCGGGTCGGCTAGGGCAGGGTTGGAGGGACCACGCCCGCCACCTGCGCTCCCATCGCCAAGGCTCCTGGGGGCGGCTCCCTAGCTCCGAGCTACGCTCTCCACTTCCCGGGCTATCTGCACTCAGAGCGAGGGGAGGCCGCGGCGGCCTCGGAGCCGTGGGAAGGGGGACGAGGCCGAAGGAAACTCTGGGAAGTTGGGAGTTGGGGACGGCCCCGGGTTGGGGCCGAATCCCACCGGGTGCTGCTCATCCTTTCTCCCAAGCGTCTAGTTCCTTTCCTTGGTATGGGGTGAGAAGGGCGGGACGCGATCCGGCGTTGGGCCGGGGACAGGGTGCTTCTGGCCTTGGGCAGACGGGCCTGAACCCGTTCCCGGCGGGTCGCACGGCATGGAGGTGGCCTGGGCCTGGGCGCTAGGCTCGACCAGCGACTACCGCCGGCCACGATGGGGTTCGTAGACTCGTCGGTCCTGGCTTGTGCACCTGTAGTTACTCCTAGTGAAAGTTGCAAAGCTCTTAACTTTGGAAAGTTCATTTATTTTGGCATTTGACCAATTAAGGTTGGAGGAGGGAGTTTTAGTGGAGCCATTTGCTTTTCCTGAGGTCCCTGGGTCTCCCAGGTCGTCTCATCCGTTACTGGCTACTGGAAAATGCATTCCTTCCAATGTTTGCTTGAGATGTTTCTCACCTGGAGAAATAGTTTTCTCGAATATTCTCCCAACCTAAGTACTTACCAAAACAGCATATTGTGGTTGGATTGTTAAAAATGGGATGAGAAAATGGCCTTTCTCTTGATATTGCTATGTATAAATATTGGAAATGAGCTATTGCCTTGCAAATTATGATGTACGAATTGAAAACAATTTATTATATAAAAATCCATTTATCCAAAAGATAAATTAAAGAATTATTTGATTTATAAAGAGTGTCACACTGAGCCAGACTTAAATAGCATATCCTTGATATATTCAAGATGGTCGTGTGGGGTGAAGTCATCTGCTAAAATTTTAAAGTTTATATCAGATTTTCCCTACCAGAGGCTTTTTTTTCCTATTGAAAAAGAAAAAAATATTGTTTTCCATTGCCGGTGGTTATATTAACTAAGTTTATTGAATGATCATTGATATATTACTTCAAAGTGGATAATTGGGTAGAGAAATACTGATCCCAGTGGTTTCCAGGGAGGTTTAATGTCCAGCCTATGTGCATCTCATTGCTGGATGTGATGTGCTGAATAAACCACAGTCCCTTATCTCACAAGCTGGAGTCCCAGGAAGATGTCTTAAGTCGGGGAAGTTCGTCCTTAAGCAGCAGAAGCAAGACAATTATTTTGCATGCTTTGCCCAAAGCAAGTATTAGTATTGAAACATCTCACTTCCTTGCCTGTGACCAGACCACGAGTTCTCCTTGTTATCCCACATAAGCAGTTGTCTTTGGCTTTACAAGAGAAGATGGATGAGGCCTATCTCTGAATCACATCTTTTTGGCCAGTTTTCTGCTTCTACTCCTTTTAATCCGGGAGCTGGATCCTGTGTTCTCAGATTCTCTTCAGCCCCTACACCAGGCAACCCCTGAGAAAGAGTCACTAAGTAGGCTTCTTACAAGAGGAAATCTGATTCCTTGGCGGAGGAATAGCTAGAGATAGGAGTCGACCTTGCTGCTCTGAGTTCCTGATAGCAGTGCTCTGCTTTCTTAAACTAGGACACAAGGGTTTTGAAGTAGCCCCATGCCCCTGTGGCTCTTTGGTTTTTGTTGGAAAGTAGCCAGCTCATGAGGACAGGGGTGGGGGTTTTCGAGTGCAAGGTGAGAGGAAATGAGGCCAAAGATTACATCCAAAGTGCACCCTCTCCTTCAGGACACTTCTCCCTTCATTTCCAAATCTCCCTTCATTTCCCTCCTTCCTTGCCTTGCCGACATTAATTCTTACATCAGATGCATTTGTCTTCATCCCTCTGAAGCAAGAGTGTCTTTAATCTCGGAACCCTAAAAGCTGAGTAGTAGAAAAGCTGCACCACACAACGCCGTGTGAATAATGTCCCTGCTGTTGATAGTGTGAACCAGAACAACCATGCACAGCAGCCCTGAGACATGGGTTCCTAGAGAGAGTCATCTCGGTAAATGGATGACTTCTTTTTCTGGAAAGGAATCCACCTGAATGCCATGTCCCAGCTTTCTCTGTTATTGTCCATTCACGGCCACCCTGTGATAGCTAGGTTTTCTCAAGCTGAACTAAGGACTTTGGTTATAAAAGGAGAAAAAAGATATAATTTCCTGTGGACAGCAAAGTGACCCTGCATCTAGGAAATTTACTCATTTTTTCAGAGGTGTGGAAAGACTAGGGCACAGACCAGCGGGCCTGAGCCATCAGAAAGGTTCTTTTTTGTCCAGGTAGTTATAGTGCCCTGTTGGGGGAGTACCGCACCCAGATTTCCCTGACTTGGTGTTCACAGAGGACTTGATGCAATTGTGGTTTAAAAAAATAAGCCTAAGTCACAGTTGGAACTGAAGTGCCTCACCCAGTCTGTCATCTGTACCAACTTGTGGAAAGGAAAGTGCTGAGTGTGAGCACTTTTGTCCATAGAAAGCAATTAGAATGCTCTGTTGGTTGCCTTTATGGTGTTTTATATGTTAATGATGTGGGACATAAACTTGCAGGCCTCAGAGACTAGCCTTTAAGGCAGAGGGAACAGCAAGCGCAAAGGCCCTGAAGTGGTAGCATTATTGATATGATTCTAGAAATGGTGACTTCAGAGGTGGCTGGAGAGGTGTGAAACAGATGGAGAGTGATAAGACGTGTATGGTCAAGAGTTAGAGAGGGTGGATCATGCAGAGTCTTGTAAACCATTATAAAGACTTTGGTTTTTACTCTGAATGAGATAGGAAGCCATTAGAAGGTGCTGAGCAGAGAAGTGACAACACTTTGACTGCTATGTTGAAGAGCAAAGGTGAAGTCAGAGAAACCACTTAGGAAGCTATTTCAGAAATCCAGACAGAGGTGATAGTGACTTCAACAGGGATAGTGGTAATGGAGGTGATGAGAAGTAATTGGATTATGAATGCAATTTGCAGGTACAGCCGCAAGTATTTATTGAAGGAAGAGATGTGAAAGGTGAGAGAAGGGCAATTAAGGATGCTTCAAAGGCTTTTTGACCTAAAAAATTCCATGTACAAGTAGAAGTCTTCAGGAAGAAGGTAGGGGTGAGGAGGGAAATCATGAGGTTTATTTTTTATTTTATTTTAACTTTTTGTAACACATTAAGTGTGTGATGCCTCTTTAGATAGCCAAGCTGTTTTACAGTTGAACAGTGACCTGAGGTATGACTATCCTCTTTAATGTCAATTGCTCTATGCTCGTATTTTTTAACTGGAGACTTCGCTGTCAAGAAGATTAATTGGTTATAGAACAGTATGTATTGTTAGAAGGTTTTCCTTGTAGGGAATTAAAAGGTCTCTTAAATTTCTACCCATGGATCTTGATTATACTTTTTTTGGTCAAAAAGCATTAGTCTTATCTCTCTTCTCCATCATACACCTTTGGCTATTAGGAGGTAAACTAGCCTAACTTATCTAGATCCACTCTTTCCAAGGAACAGAAAGGAGGATTGGATCATGTAATGACTAGGTCTTAAACATGTTTTTATCATTTTCTTTTTAAGTCTTTTCTTCTGTAGGGTGCCAACCATGTCTGTGCCAAGCACTTTATGTAGGTCATTTCACTAGTCCTCACAAGTCTTTTAAGCACTTATCTGTGTTCCAGCAGCAGCAGCAGCTGCTGGGAGCTTGTTAGAATTGGAGATCTCAGTTATGTCCCAGACCCACTGAATATGAATCTGTATATTAACAGGATCCTCAGGTGAGAGTTGTAGGCACATTAAAGTTCAAGAACCATGGCTAAAAGTGATTGATATATATGAGTAAACTGAAGTCCAGAGAAGTAAACTAGCCCAGGGCCATGGAGTCCATTTAAAAGAAGAATTGGGTCTAAGTGAAAGTAGCTTCTTAGGTAGTCACATCACATGTACTGAAAACTGAGGAGTTATTGTCAATGAAAATTTTCTAGGTGTTTTTCATAAGAGCCACCCTTAGACCTACTTTCTCTCTTCTGTACTTGTATGATGGATTTAATCCCTAAGTGTAGGTCACATTCTATGTAGTTGTAAAGATTCAGCTTAGTATTTTTGATTATGAATTCTGTTATCCAGGATACTGGTTTTCCATTCATGTTCCAACTCCATATTCTGGAGATTTTTCTGCATGTTCTCTGTGTCTGTACCCAATGTTTAGAAAAGGTTCAGCAGGTCAGAGTATGAAGCAGAGCCTTAAGACTCATGATTAGTGATTCTTCTCTCCATGTAAATATTACTCTATTCAAGAAAAGCTTTTTCTAGGTCATGGTTTTCAACTTTGGCTGCACATTAGGAATACTTAGGGAGCTGGAACAAACAAACAAAGAAAAAACAAACAACAGCAACAACAAAAACTACCAATGACTGGGCTGCACCCTAGACCAGTTTTAAATCACAGTCTCTGGGAAATGGGCCTGGTATCAGTATTTTTAAAGTTCATCTATTGATTCTAATGTGCAGCCAAGTAGAGAACAACCTTTGAGACCATTGGGCAAAGAATGCATCCGCCTAACCCTTCTCAGCTCAGCTCACATTTGTTTCTTGCAAAATTAGGAAAGATAGTATCAAAAACTAGGAACCTTGACTGTTACCCTGTACAGCTAGTGCCCATATCAACTGATTCTTAACTTTCTTTTCCCAACGTTATCCTACATTTTTCTTTTAAGGGCTCATTGAACATATCATAAGGCTCTATTATGTCCACCAATCTGAGAGGGGAAAAAACAAACAAATCAAGAAAAATCTTGTCTAAATAGTGTGTCATTAAAAGGTCAGAATATAGAACCTTCACAAATGTCACCCTATGTTAAATTATAATGAAGTCACTTATTAGAAAATGTACATGTAAAATAATAATTAAATATAGTTTCTATGAAAAAAATCTCCAAAATAATCATCAAGATTAAATATTAGCCTTGATTCAAATTTTTCTAAGGTAGTCAAAAGAGAATCAGTCTTGAAACACTGGATGTTTATGAATAGACCTTGGTGTGATTATGCACAATGGGATTAATTTTTTTAAATTAATGTTAATTGCAATCAGGAAAAAGAGTCTTCTAAGGAATGAGTGGCATATTGGATGCACAATATGTGAAGATCTAATTTGCATTTACTTCGGTGACATTTCAGGGCTCCTTCATAAATATTTTATTTAAACAAGTGTGTTTTCATCTCTGCGGGACTCCTCTACATGGACCAGTGAGTGGTTTAGTCATGAGGTAATTATCAAGAGGGGAAAACAAAAGCAAATTGTAGTAAAGGCATCACAGGCAGCCCTATGGCCAGCTGCCTCTTTCAAAATAAACAATCAAAAGCACAAACTTTTTGATGTGGGATAAACTCTCAAGGAAAAATTAAACTGACACCTAAAGGAAATCATCCTCAAATTTTCTATTATGTATAGAGCATAGATGTTGCTTTCACTGAAGTAGCATTGAGGCACTTTTATGTTTGTGCTGCAAGTGCAATTTCCCATATGGTTGGCTTAAAAACATTCATAATCTCTTCCTAACAGGTTGACTTGAGGGAACTAACAAGTTCACACTCCAAAGTGTATAGAGAAAGTGGAGGAGCTTAGTGAGAGGCATAAATGGGGGAGCAATCTCACTTTTAAAAGGACAAGTATGGAGTATGTATTTCTATTTTCTGAATGAAGTTTGAATAAAATCACCATTTGTGGAGAAGTTTTCAGTTTTCACTGCAATCTTGGAGCAATAAATGTGCATCACGACTTCCTTTTCTTTCAAATGTTTATTTGGTGGGCTCTAGGAAGGGCTTTAGACCACATCAAATCCTGAGGACCAGGCTTTGCAGATCTCTTTGAAATCTTCATATGGCCTTGCACATGTATTTTATCACACAAAAACTTTAAATCAACATTGATAGAACTGCACTTGAAAGAAAAAAAAATCTTCTAGGACATCAAGATGACAAAGTGGAATAAGCAAGGACTTTGGAGTTAGAATCTGACTGCACTTACTACCTTAGTGACCTTGAGTAAAATATTTAACTCTTCATTTTATTCATCTATAAAATGGGAGTGGAAGATTGCTGTAACATTGTGCCCAGAGTAAATGCTCAAATAAATGATCAATAAATTGATGTTGTTGGTAGTATCACCTGCCCATGTTTCCTTTCAGCCGTGGTCCACAAACATGTATATGTTTTACCATTTGTAATTATTTGTAGGCTAAATTTACTTTCTACTTTTTTGTAAACTTAGCATTTTATTACCTCTTATTAGCTGTGTGTTCCTGGACAAGTTATTTAACCTCTGTGTCCTCATTTTCTCATCAGTAAAATGTATTACTAGTATCTGGGTTACTAGTTACCCAGATAAAATACAGGCTGCCAGTTCAATTTGAATTTCAGATAAACGACAGGGAATATTGCATGGCACATAATTATACAAAACAATCATCTGTTGTTTATCTGAAATTGAAGTAGAACTGGGCATCCTATATTTTTATTTGTGATGCTGACAACCCTATACTAGTACCTATCTCGCAATGCATGCGAAATACCATAGTACCTGGTATATGCTCATAGTAATTACACGTAGTAAATGCTCAATAAATACTAGCCATTATTTCTATTATTATAATTTTCCCATTGTTAACACTTATTAGTACGTAATTATTATTGTTGTGATGACTATGTATATTCCAAGAATGGGTATACCTTTTTTATTTAACCATTCTTTTGAGGCTATTCTAGCTTGTAATTTTTTTTTAGTGTGAATAATGTCTTGTATTTATAGTCCCCTGTTTCCTTTTGGGAAAATTTTTTCATGATAAATTATAAACAGTGAGCCCTAATTGCTTTCTGGTAGATCTATGTTAGTTAGTCCTGCTACATGTCAACAGTAAATCCGCTAGCATTAGGTGTATAATGTGAACAAAAGGTTGCTAATTTAACATGGTTTAAACAGCTGCTTAGTTGTTTCAATTTGTGTTTTTTTTGTTGGTAAGACTGAATATTTTTTGTTTTGAACCTTCTTATATTTACTCTTAAGTGAATTTTTTGTGTTCTCTACCACATTCTCTATCATGTACCAGTTTATTTTTTGAGAATCTTAATGTTTTTTTCTACCAATTTCCATTAATTAGAATGTAAATATTCTGTCAAATTAGCTCACAGAAGGAATATTGTATAGTGAATGAGCTCAGGTTGTCTGACTATAATCAACCCATTATATTAAAGTGTCTTTTGAAATTTCAGGGGTGGTTCAATAAATAGGGATTCGTTGTAACACTCTTTTCCAATGCAAAATGCTGCATTTATTTATATGAAATATGAAAAAGTTGTTATAATTTGAATCTCTTTTTCTTTATGTTTTCTTTCCCACTCCAACCTACCCCACCCTACCCTTGTGCAGCTGTTACTTAACCACGTTGAATTGATCAATCTTTTCTAGTTATAATTAAGTTAAATTCCAAAAACATTTATTGAGGGCCCCTTAAGTGCTATGTACAAGGTTGGGCATCTGTCATTCAAAGATACATTAGACATGCTTACTGCCTCTATGGAATTGACATAAAACAATAATGGCAATTAATAAAATCAAGAAGGGAGATATCTACTGGATACAGTACAGAAAAAAGAGGAGAGAAGTAATTAGCTGACTTGAGTGGATCTGCAGAGGCTTCCTACAGAAGTCTATTCTTGGGCAGAAGAGTTTGTCTGGAACTAGTTGGTGGGAAGAGCATTCTAGGAATTTACAAAGGTCCTAACACAGAAGAGGATGGATCCTGGGTAACAGTAAGTTGAGTGTGTGTTGGCAATGTTGAGAGATGGATCTGCTCTAGTAAACAATGGTCAAATCAGATCACGAAAGCCCCTGTATGCCATTGCCAAAAACCCACTGAGGACTAACTGGAGCACTCTGACACAGAAATCTTGAAAGAAGTACAATTTATATCATAAGCCCAAAGCAAAGCACACCAGGAGATTTCAGTTCCATGAATGCAGCTTCTGAAGTCTTCCTGGTTCCTTATGGAAAATATACTCAGGTTACTGGCAAATATGTTCTTTCTGTCCAAGGTAAGGTCCTAACAGATTGGAATCAATGAATGGAAGTTTACCCATTTTAGATCCCCAACATATCACCCTGAAACCCAACTGTAATTACCTTGAATAGTTGTAAATACTGCCTTTAGCAAGTTTAGTCATCTGGTTCAAACATCTGGATTCCAGATATAATTCCTGACTATGCCAACAGTGACATCTTGCTTCCTTGCCTGGTTATTTAGTAATGAAAAAGCAGTGTGTTCAGCTGCATTGTAACTATCCAGTCTGTGGATGTGCACAGTCTGTTTTCTCTGAAGTTATAGGGCCCAAGAGGGAATACGCATGGCAGGCCTGCCTAGTGCCCACCAAGCCACGCTGTAGAGATAGTTCTTTATTGTGTGTACAGGGTCTGCCAATTAACAGGCATAATTTTAAAAAATAATTGAATTGAATGCCCTTAAGTGGGTCACAGGCTGTCCATTTCTAATATCTGCCTCCTCGTCCCCACCACATACATGTACACTTTGCTTATCACATTTTTGGGACATGCCTGCCTATTGAAGACATCTTAGTTTGTATCAGCTGTAGCACTGCAGAACCATTAAAAGAGTTTACGCTGAAAATTCAGGTGAGTTTTATCCCTTAATTAGGTATTCTGGAGACAGGATAAACATTGATTGGAGAGGTTATAGTAGGGGATGCCAGTTATTTGCTCACCATATATTTATTGAGCATCTACTAAGTACCAGGCTCTATCCTAGGTATGTACAAATGTAGATACCTAGACACAGTATTGTACATACAGTAGGGAATGAAACAGAAAATTAAAAGTTTGCCCTCATGAAACTTACATTTTGGGAAAATGATAATAGGTACATAAATTATATTGTATGTTAGATAGTAGTAAGTGCTAAGGGAAAAAACAAGGCATGGAAAGAGATCAAGACATAAAGACTAAACTGGCACCACTGAGAAGTTGACAAATGAGTAAAGGTCAGAAGGAAATGTGGGAGCAAGATACACACGTAGCAGGGGGAAGAGCGTTCCAGGCAGGAGAGCGGCGGGTACAAAGGTCTCAAGGCAGGAGCATGCTTGACGTGTTCAGATATTAGCCAAGGGTTAGTATGACTGTAGTGAGGTTGGCAAAAAGAGAGTAGTAGTAGATGAGGTCAGAGAGGTGATGGCAGACTGATTGTAGGCCTCTATAAGCCATTTTAAAAAAGTGACTTTTACTTGCAGTAAGATAGGAAGCCATTAGCAAGTTTTAACAGAAGAGAGATAACATCTGACTTAGGAAGAGAAAGGATCACTCTGACCAGCACATAGAAAACAGACTATAGGAGGGGAAGGTTGAAGTTAGGGAGAGGAGTTATAAAGCTGTTGTAATCATGTAGGTGAAAGATGGTGGTGGCTTGGACCAGAGTGATAGCAGTGGAGATAGTAGGAGGTGGTCAGATTCTGGGTAGCTGGAAGGTGGAGATGACAACATTTACTAATAGATGGATATTGAGTGTGAAAGACAGAGAGGAGTCAAGACTAAGACTGTGGCCTGAGCAGCTAGGAGAATAGAGTTGTAGGAGAAGTAATTTTGAGGGGAATGACCAGCAGCTCAGTTCTTGATGTGGGATATTGGAAATGCTTATTAGTGAGCCCAGTGGGGATACAGACTAGCCGTCTGGATATATGAGCCTGGAGTTTGGGAAAGATGGCTAGGCTGAAGGTATAAACATGGGAGTCATCAGCATGTATGTGATATGGGTCTGGCTGAAATTATCTAGGAAGGCACAGTGAATGGGAGAGTGAAGGGGACCCGCACTAAGTTCTGGAACTGTCCAACGGTAAGAGGCTAGAGAGAACTTGAGGAACTACAAAGGAAGATTAATGAAGAGAGACTAGAAATGAAAGAGAAAATCCAAGCAAGAGTGTTGACCTGGAACCCAGGATGAAGAAGAAGGTGATCAAATAAGAAGGAATAAGCAGCTGTGTCAAGTGCTACTGTTAGGTCAAGCAGAATGAAGACTGGGCACTCACCATTGCAGGTAGTGATGCAGGGGTCATTGGAAGTAATGTTGACAAGCATTTTTGATAGAGAGGTGGGAACAAGAGCCTGATTGGCATGGCTGTAAAAGAGATTGAAGGGAGAGGAATTGGGGCAGTAAAGACAGAATAGTCTTTTAAGTTTTTCTGCTGACAAGAGCAAATAAATGGCATAGTAGTTGCTAGTGAGGGAAGTGAGATCAAGGGTTGTATTTATTTATTTATTCGTAAGTTAGGAGACTTAACAGCACCAAGGTGAAGGGAATGACTAGTACAGAACAAAAAATCATGATATAGGATAAAGAGGGGAGGATTGCTAGAATGATATCCTTGGTTGAGAAGTTGGGTACATTTCCCGAAAGTTCAGTGTAGGCATTTAGGCACCAAAGGCACATAGATGATATTTAAAACCAAAAAATCTAGATGAGCTTACTGTCTTAGTCCATTTGCACTGCCCTAGCAAAACTACCATAAGCTGGGTAGCTTATGAACAACAGACATTTATTTCTCACAGTTCTGGAGGCTAGAAAGTCCAAGAGCAAGGAGCTGGCAGATGCTGTGTCAGGTGAGGGCGTGTTCCTCATAGACAGCACCTTCTCTCTGTGTCCTCACATGGTGGAAGGGGTTTCTTTCATAAGGGCATTAATCCCATTCATGGGGGCTCTGCTCTCATAGTCTAGTCACTTCCCCAAAGGCCCCAACTCTTAGCATTATCATACTAGGGATTAGGTTTCAACATACAAATTTGGGGAGGACACAAACATTCAGATCTTCACACTTACCAAGGGGTGAATAAAAATAGAAAAGAAGTCAAACAACTGGTTAGAAGTCAGAGAAATGTGCAGGAACCAATAAGGAGACTGAGAGGGACCAGAAAGTAACGTGGAGAAAAATCAAGAACATGATGGCTTGGAAATTAAGAAAGTATTCCTAGGTGGAAGGAAGGATCCCCTGAGTTAAATGCCCCTGATAGGTCAAGTAAGATGACAACCAAGAACTGACCATTGCATTTAATAACATGAAGGCTAATTGGTGACCTTGAACTGAATGATTTTGGGAGTGGTGCCTCAGTGGAACTGGTGAAAGTCTAACTAGAGTCTTTCTAAAAGAGAATGAGAGGAGAGAAATTGAGAGAAAAGAGTATAAGCCATTTTTTGGAATTATTTTGTGAAGGGAGAGGAGAGGAGAAACTGATTCAAAGGATGGCTTTTAAAGGAAAGACAAAATAACTGTATGTTTGTATGCTGGAGAGAGGGAAAAATGATGTAGAGGATTAAACTGCTGGAGTGATGTGCTGAGTAGGTTGAGTAGGTGGGTTTTTCAACAACAGTTTGTTTATTGTCATGAAGTCAGGGCAGAATATATGGGCACAGGTGGGCAGATGTGGTTTGGGAATCTTGCAGAAGTTTGCCTTCTGATTGCTCTTGTATTCTTGGTGAAATAGGAAGCAGCAAGGTTATAAGCTGAGAGTGAGGATGGTTAGGAAGTAATGGCAATTTGAAAATAAGAGAGTTATAAATGTTTAGGAGAGTGGAAGAGCAAATGGATTAGGGAAGGAAGTGTAATTGCCAGGCAATACTAAGCACCTGCTTGAAGTTGGCGATCATGAATTTAAAGTAATTTCCATCAGCATAGGTGTGTGTGTTTCTTCCATGTTCAGCTCTTTTTTTTGCAGGCATGGAAGAGAGGGAAGTTTGTGTTTAAGCCGGGGTTGTGTGTATGAGAACAAGGAAAGAGTAGCAAAAGAGTTGAGGGTATGTAGAATAGATTGGAATGATTGATTCTGAAATTTCATTGGAGTAAGGAGAGAAAAGCGGATATGTAAAAGGATTAGGGATAGTGAAGACGTGGTAGGATTAATGGATTGTAGGTCCTGGAGGGGTGGAATGCTTGTTGAGAATGCAGTGAGGAGAAGGGGGCCAGAGAATGAGATGTTTGAAATCAAGATTCTGGAGGAGCTGCAACTGTTGACATGACCACGTCCAGGACATGATCATGAGAGGCATGATGGGGAGAGGGGGACAAATGATTGAAGACAGGAGCTCAAAGAACTACAGGCCCAGGGTTTTGGAAGTGTTATCGACATGGATATTGGCTTTGCTGAGAATTATGACAAAAGTAGTTTTGGAGAGAGTGACAGTAAGCGAGCAACTGGGCTCTCCCAGGAATGTGGGGGAAGCGACCTGAGGAATGATAGATGTCTGCAACAAGGATGGGCAGTTGTGGTGTAGTGGTGTGTTCAGACAATATGAGATTTAAAGCTGGGTGTTTTTTAAAGAAAACAGCAGCAGGCAGTAAACTATTAATTTTTACTTAAGCAGAAGTGTTGAAGGAATATTTTAAGTCAGTAGAGATGCCTTAAGAGATATTTAAGAGATAAAATAATTAGTACAATGATATGAAATAGAGAGAGATCCTGATTCCCAATTTTTTTTGCATATGTGCCTGGAAAGATGTGCTTATAACTTATTAGGTTTACCACAGGAAGTCAAGCACATTTTGTGGGAAAATAATGAGATTGATTTTAAACACATTAAGTTTGGGATGTGTATGACATCTCATGCAGATGTCCAGGGCAGTTGACTGGTGGAAAACTGGGAAGAAGTTACTGGAAATAAGGAGGGTGAAAAGCGATTGAATGTCAAGGCCCCTTGCAACTCAAAGATTTTTGTAAAGTGGTTCCCAGTTCCAGGTATGCATCAAAATCAGTTAAGGAACTTTTGAAGACACAACTGCCCTGTCCCAAGATTGACTAAGTCAGCCTTCAGGGGTGACACCTAAAATACCTCTACACAGCTAGGGTTGCAAATGACATGCACTTACGGCCTTCGTGGTTTACAATTACTTTTTACAGCCCCTTGGTCAAAATAAATGCTCAAACTGTCTATGTAAAACTTTTATAAAATATTAGGCAAGGAAACCCAAACTCGAAAATGTGTTTACTATCTATCATGGATTCTTTTTTTTTTTTTTTGTAGCCACAGTGAATTATCTCAAATTATTTGTAAGTACAGCTACTATTGGCACAATTACTAATAAATTCTGTAGAAAATTTAGCTGTAGGATGTAACTGTAGTGTCCTAGCCCTAAGTAAAATCATGGTCTTCTTTATCGCTAGGCAAGTAATATGATTATCATTTGTTCTTATTTTAGGATAACCATACGGTACATAAACCCTGTGAAAACTCTAACTAGGCCATGAGGTTAGAGAATAACATGGTTGCTTGATTCCTGTAGGCTATAAATCATCCTAGCCAATATGCTCACTTCTTGTCAGAAAAACCTGTGAAACAGAGAAAGAAGCTGGACAAGAATGAGGAGGCCACATTAGAATCACTTTTAACTTGGGATTCAGAGGATCCCAAGTTAAACATATTTCCATTCTTATTTTTTTAGATAATATGGATGTCAATTGTTGGCATAGCTGAGCTAGCTCTGAAGGCTTCCCAAATTATTTCAGAGGGAATGAGAAAACAGTGCTGCTTGCTCTTCTTTAATCTGTTCCACCGTGACTGCTACTTTAGATTTAATATAACTGTAATATCCCGAATTTATAGGTCATCCTTCTTCTGGGGCTTTTAAAGTACTTTGTGTGTATTACTTTAATTTTGAGGGAACTCAGATTCATCATCTTATGGAATCTATTTCAGAGGGAATCTACAAAGAGAACTAGAAAGTCCCCCAAAGTGTTTCTTTTTTTTCTTCCAGATGCCTTTGGTAGGAACATTCATTGATTCTAACTCCACACTGCTTTAGAGGCCATTTATGTGTGGATTACTGTAGGCTGCTCTGGGGGAAAATCTAATCCCCACAGGTTCAGTTAGAGAGGATCCACTCTGCACGCTGATAAAGATTAAAACTGCAGCTCTTTTCGATTGCATTGTCTTCTTTTTTTATCTTTTAATTTTTGTATTATCTTATGCTTCAGTAATTCAATCACATCTGCCTTCCCAGTGCCTCAGTATGTGGAAACTGGGAAGTTAAATTGGGCAGAGTAACAAAACAGGAGCTCTACTTCATATGCCTTTGTTGTAAAATGTGATGTCTTAGGGTTTGCAGTGGTGTCCCATAGTGCTACAGACAATCATCAGATTTGACCCAGGGAAACTCCTGGAGAAAAGTGAGTAGTAAATAGTGGCCTTAATGATGCAATCAGAACATGGGGGATTGTCAGAAGAGGATCAGAGTTAGCTTTGTAGTACTTGATTCCTTAAATGTTTAGGAAGTAGTTTCATTAAATATAGTAAAACATTTGTCTACTGATTTATATAGTTTTTAATCTTCTCTTTTTCCAAAACCTCATGCTAATTAAATTAACATTCCTATAAAAAACATACTGAATACAATATATATCATTAAGTGAGACTTATTTTAGGTTCATAAATAGTACAATAAACTGTAAAGACTTAGAAGTCATAAACTTTTACTTTTCATTAATGAAGCAATATGTGAATATATAAAACCAAGTTTGTTATAACTTTATAAATTAGAAAAATTAGAATTATGTTGGAGACTACAATACTTCACTGATAGAATACATCAACTAGACTAAATACATAGAGGATAGAAGTTATAGAGTTAAAATAATAAAGAAAAATCATGTTCACGAAACATTTAAAAAATTAATCAGCACATGATTAATTTTTTAGACATGACAATAAAAAGGAAAAGTTAAATCCAACAGGTAAAAATCGCATGGGCCACATTTACTGACCATAAAATAATCAGTGAGAGATTAAGAAGTAACAATAACAATGCCAAAACTCTAAACACTTAAAAATTGAACTCTTTCAGAGATCTCTTGAGTTAAAAAAAATCAGAAATGGACACTGAAATTATAGACATTGAGAATACAATGGAGTATAACCAAAGCTATATCTAGATGACAATTTCTAATTCTCAGTTGTTAATAGCAAATAAATACAGCAATAGAAAAAAAAATGCATTGAAGTTAAGAGCCTAAAAATAGAAAGGTAAAGCAAATCAAAAGAGAAAAAAAAATAAGAGCAAAGCATCAATAAAACCAAAAGAAGAAATTACTGAATTAGAAAGTGAAAAATCCCAAAGAAGCAGTGTTAATAAATAAAACCCAGGTGTGTCTTTCTGAAATAAAAAATAAATAAATATTGTGCTATTCTGATCAAGGAAAAAATGAGAAAACACAAATATAAAGCAAAAAGAATAAGAAAGAGGATTTAATAACAGATACAGAAGACAATAGAAAGCACAAGAAAATGGCATACATGCCAATGATGTAGAAATACAAATTGAGTGGAAGTCATAAACATCTCAGAGTGAGTATAAAAATATTTAGAAGAAATTGAAAGGTAGTCAAAGAACTTTCTGTGTAAAAAGGTATAGGCCTAAATATTTTTATAGGTTAAGTTTAACAAAATATTAAGTACTACATCAGCCCTCTTATTTGTCGGAACCACAAATAGTCATTACAAATTTGTTTTAAGTTGTCATTGCAACAAAAGTTTTCAGTGAGCACAAGAATTAAAGGTCATCAGCACTTCCATTAACAATTACTGTTAATACTTTTACCAGAAGTGGAATTGCTAGGCTTATGCACGTTAAATATTTTGATATAAAATTATCAAATTGTCCTCTAGAAAGGTTTAACAATTCATATACTGTAAAAACTATACTGTGGCATAGAAAAAATATGGAAGGCATCCTAATTTACTTTGTGAGGCTAGTATCACACTAATATCAAATCTGACAAAGACAATAGTAAAAAAATCTTGATACCAATCTCAGTTAAGCATATAAATATATTGTAAATAATAGAAAACAAATACAGCTTTGTATTAAAAATACTGATGTACTGTAACCTGGTAGGGGTTTAAGACTACAGGAATGGTAAAGCACTAGGAAGCCTAGTATTACAGTAATAGGTTTTTTGGTTGTTGTTTTATATATATAATTATTTTAACTTTTGACGATGTATGCAACATAAGTCACAAACTTGACACATTTTTCTCTATCTCCAGTCATTCTCTGGTTTTAAAAATATAACTTTATCGAGACGTGTTTTACATATTGTAGAGTTCACTCTGAAAGTGTACAATGGAATTATTTTTTAGTAAATGTATGAAGTTGTGCAAGCATCACTATAAATCAGTTTTAGAACCTTTTCAACATTCCAGGAAGTTTCCTCATATCCATTCTCTGTTAATCCCTGCCTCAGGAGACTACTAATCTACTTTCTGTCTCTATTAATGTGTCTGTTCTAGACATTTCATATAAATGGAATCATACAATATGTGATGTCTTCTGTGACTGGGTTCCTTCACTTAGCATAATGTTTTTGAGGCCTGGCTATATCATAGCACGTGTCATTAGTTCTTTCCTTTTTATTACTGATTAGTATTCCATTAGATGGATGTATTTCATTTTATTTATTCATTTACCAGCTGATGGACATTTGGCTTTTTTCCAATTTTGTGCTATTGTGACATGGCAATATAGTATCTGGTAAAGACAGCATTTCAAATCAGTTGGGGGGGTGGGAAATGGGCTATTCAGCAAATGGGGTTGAGATAATTGAGTAACTATTTGGGAAAAAACATTATATGCCTGCTCCTGAAATTTTTCATGTGGTTTAAATTTTACAAATATAACTGCTAAAATTCCAAAGGAAATTATGTGATAATCATTTTATCATCAGAATACTGTATAGATGACAGCAAAACAATAACAGCAGGTTAGACACAGAGGTAAATTTTTAAAATTCTTTCATGTAAAGAGACCTAGGAGTAGTCTGCCCAGGTCTGAGAGTCTCTAGGTAGTCTTAAGATTCAGGTTCTTTCTGTCTTTCTATGTTTGCCTTCTTTAGTGCATTACTTCAAATTCAAAGTCACATCATGGGCTAATATGGCTGCTGGAATTCCAGCACTTACATTTACATCCCTGAGAGAGACAAAAACCTCACTTTCGACCTGAGTCTACTCTTCTAGAGTAACCTTTCTCGAAGTCCCACTCTATACTTGTGCTTTCATCTCATTGATCAGAATTTAGTCATATTGCCATCCCTAGCTACAAGAAGGTTGAGAAATGTAGTCTTTTAGCTTGATAAATTGTCACTTCAAATGCAATTTAAGTTGTTATTTTGGAAAAGGGGAAAAACAGATATGGGGTGGCAACTACCAGTGTCTGTGATCTTTGTAGTAGGTGAAGCCTTCCTTAGCGTGACCCTAAAGCCAAAAACCATAAAAGACAAGGTTGACAGATTCTGAGAAGCACAACAGCAGGAACATTTTTATTTTGCAAAGTTCATTATCAGCAAGACAAACCAAAAATGGGACAAAATAATAACAATGAATGATAGAGAATTAACATTCTTAAAGTGTACTGCTGAAATACATTAATTAGTAAGACATTTGACTGTCTGTGCCTTTTGGAGAGAGTGTATCAATTCTTTGGTAACTCCTTAAATGTACAATAATACCATATTGACAATGTTTATTCTTATTATATAAATATATATTTTAAACCATGTTGACCTTTTAGCAAGAAGGTACATTTTTTTGTATGGGGCATTATTATTTTAATTCTCTCCCCTCAAGGGCACATTTTAGGCTCATCTGTTAAATGCAGCTCATAAACGCTGTTATAGGCTGTTTGATTTAGGACAGATTCAGCTAGATTACCTGAATACTCAATTAACTGCCACAGTGAGAATCGTTTGCTTTCAGATCGATAAGAAGATCAAATCAGTAGCCATTCTCAGTTCAGTGCTTCATCAGGAAGTGAATTAAAGCAAACCCATTAGTGGTCATTTTTCTAAATGCTAATCAGTGAATTTCAAATTCTAGAAAAAAAATTGCATGTTTTTAGTGGTTATTATAGATGAGTATCTTGAACTGAGTTCAGGACTTCAGGACATTGAAAGGGGGCCTGGTTTCTAGCCATATTACTTAGACAACAATAATTCTTCACAGCTTTCTGTTAATATCTTCTGATTTAACAGGCAAGTTGGAGCCAAGTGGCCTTTGGCTATTTGGTATCCTTGGTAACCACTGTTAGATGATGAATTGAATTAGTTAAAATTAATTTCTTGTGAAAAGCTGCTTCCATGAGAGGATACTGACTTTGATGTTTAGATGCACAAGACACAGACACACACACACACACACACACACACACACACACACACACATAATGTGGAGAGAGTGTCATCAGGTGTGGAGAGTTTTTGCAGGTAACTGCAAAGCCTAATAAATGTAAAAGTGAGAAAGACGAAGGAAGACTGCAAAGGGCTCTGCCTCTAAGAACTGTGCTTCTGCTTGGAGAGGGAAGACTTATATAAATAAAGGAATCTGAAGCATAATAGTCACTATTATTTGGCTGGTGAAGTAGCCTTTCTTTTCTCACATCTGCGAATGTTAACTGTCATGACAAAGCTATTTTATTGTTATAGAAGTTTGGGAAAAGATGGAGAACACATTTTTTCAATATAAAATAATATAATATATATTTTGGCTCCAAGCCCACTTTTGATGTCAATTTAGGTAGCATTTTTCTTTCATCCTGATAGGTGCCTAACCTGAGGACCATATCTGCTACAAACTCTGCACTCCCAGAAGTTAACATTTTTAGGGTTATTGCTAGAACATGCACAGCCCAGTGCTGGACTGTGTACAATGGATTGCTATTTGCTTCAAAAGCAACACTCCTATATCCTGTTGGGTCTGTAGCAAGAGCAATCCATTGTACCAAGATGTGTCCCAGGTCCCTGGCCCAGGCCCGCCAGTCATGCATTTCCCTGGAGGGGCAAGGGAGAAATGGATGCCCCTGATTTCAGTCCTACATAGAATTTTAACTACTGCTGACTTCAGAATATTCTGCTTGTTTTTTTGTTTTGTTTTGTTTTGTTTTTTGAGATGGAGTCTTGCTCTGTCACCCAGGTTGGAGTGCAGTGGCACTATCTCCGCTCACTGCAAGCTCCACCTCCTGGGTTCATGCCATTCTCCTGCCTCAGCCTCCCAAGTAGCTGGGACTACAGGCACGTGCCACCATACCTGACTAATTTTTTGTATTTTTAGTAGAGGTGGGGTTTCGCCGTGTTAGCCAGGAGGGTCTCAATCTCCTGACCTCATGATCTGCCCGCCTCGGCCTCCCAAAGTGCTGGGATTATAGGCATGAGCCACCGCACCTGGCCTGTGCTTGGTCTTGGATGAACTATAAGGTATAGATATTTAGAGAAAAAATGCAGAAGCTGAGCTGTAAGAAGGTAAATCAGAGCTTCATGTATAAATTGGACTCTTAGAGTCTTTTACCATTGAATCTGCTTTTGTTCTACATTTAAATACTTCCTAAATAAACAAGAGCAGCACATATCCTGGGCAGTCCATGTAAACTGAATTCAAAGACTGCCTCACCACTTAATAGTTGTATAATCTGGGGAGAATTACCTAACTTCTTGGTGTCTTAATTTTCTTATCTGCAAAATGAGGATAATAATGCTTATAGGGGAACTGAGGGCGTGAGTAAGGTCATGACTTTGGGACACAGCATGCCGTTTAGAGATCAATTAGTGTTAGTTCTATTATTAATCCCCTCAGTGGAAGCCTTTTTAATGTTTCACAAAAATCGGCATAACTGACTTCTGTCCCATTCTTTATTTTTGCTTTCTTTTACTTCCTCCATTAATCTCTTTTCTTTTCCTCCACCCACCTTCTAGTGCCCTTATCCATTATTGTTTTCTCTCCTCTTTTTTCATCTTATCCCCTCTTACTTCATTTTATCCTCCAGACTTTTTATTGGTGTTTTTTTTTCCTTCTGCATACCTTAAGTGACAATGTAATGCAATCTAGCTATTCACTCATCACGTTTAACAGGAACTTACCATGGACTGGTCACTGTCCTTGGTGCTGGGGTTGTGAAAAAGAAAGACATGATCCTTGTCCTCAAGGAGATTACCTTTTCGTGGAGGATACAGACAAGTAAACAGGCAATTGAAACTCAGTGCAATAAGGGAAAGTGTGGTTTGATCTGGGAGCACATAGGAGGGGCACCTATCCCAAACTTGGAGGAAGTGGTGTCAAGAAAGGCTTCTCCAGAGAAGAAATAAATAAGCTCTGAAGTGTCATGGGAATGAGTGTTCCAGTAAAGCATTTGGAGGAAGAGTTTCTAGTAAACAACATGTGCAAAGGTTTAAATGCTTGAAGTGGCATGTGACCTTAGGGACCCTCAATGAGTTAGGATTGGTGGAGTTGAATTTGGAAGTTAGAGTGGGGGGTTGTTGATGTAATGACAGTTAAAGTCAGAGAGGTAAATAAGGGTCTTGTGGGTCATGTTAAGAATTTACATTTTATCCTAATCTTAATAGTTATCTATCTTATGATAGAATCTATAGAACATGAAATGCAGTAGGAGAGTGGTATAAAGGAAATCTAAGGTTTCTGATTTAGGCAGCTGGGTCATATAAAATGCAGAAGTAAGAGCAGGTAGAGGGAATGAGAAAGAGAGACTGAATTGGGTTTTAGAAATGTGTATTTAAGGTATGTAGTACCTGTAGTTGTAAATATGGGCCTGAAATGAAAAAAAGAGTTTCAAATCTTATTTTGAAATTTGATAGTGATTGCATTCATTATTCTATACTGAGGTTTTTTTCTTTTGTTAGTGTTTTTGTTTTTTGTTTGTTTGTTTTTTGACTGGTTCTTCTGAATGTCCTTACATTTTGATGGGCATAGTTAAGGAATTATGGCCCAACTATATGTAGCCAAGAGAGCAAAGTTTAAGAAGAACATAGTTAAAGTGCGAGAGAGAACCCAGTATTTATTTCTTCTGAAGGCAATTAGGAAAAAATCAGGAGTGTTTACCCTCTGATATCACAAGAGTTGCTTAAAAGAACTTGAAGATTGCTGCTAAGTGAGTCCCATGGCCAGGACATGGCCTAATGGTAGTCTGAGGGAAGTGTATGAATGAGGTTTTGGGGTGAGTGATAAGTAAGAGCTTGTCCTACATAAACTCAATCTCCAGTATTAGAGAGGTCTCCAAAGCACCTAATTTCATTGAATAAAATAAAATTATTACTGGATTTATTTTAAAATCTTTGGAGTTTACAGCAAACTAACACAGGAACAGAAAACCAAACACTGCATGTTCTCACTCATAAGTGGGAGTTGAACAATGAGAACACATGGACACAGGGAGGGGAGCATCACACACCAGGGCCTGTCAGGGGGTGGGGGACAAGGGGAGGGAGAGCATTAGGACAAATACCTAATGTATGTAGGGCTTAAAACCTAGATGACAGGTTGATAGGTGCAGCAAACCACCATGGCACATGTATACCTATGTAACAAATCTGCACGTTCTGCACATGTATCCCAGAACTTAAAGTAAAACAAACAAAAAATGTTTAGAGTTTATATTTATTTCTGGCTTGTATGCTGTTTGAGATAAAGTCTTGTGACAAGTTTATTACCTGCTGTGCTATGTAGAACTGCCTTTGATTAGTCAGAGCCTGACTTTTCTTTTCCTTCCAGTGGAGCCCCCTCATTAAGGCATTTCAAGCTTAGTTGACTAAATTCATGTTTCTGTAATACACATCAGTCATGATTCTACACTCTTTCCTTATATCTGTGTGAAGTTCATCTTTTTTTTTTTTTTTTTTTTGACAGAGTCTTACTCTGTTGCCTAGGCTGCAGTGCAGTGGCACGATCTTGGCTCACTGCAACCTCTGCCTCCGGGTTCAAGCGATTCTCCTGCCTCAGCCTCCCGAGTAGCTGGGATTACAGGTGTGCACCACCATGCCCAGCTAATTTTTTGTATTTTCAGTAGAGATGGGGTTTCGCCATGTTGGCCAGGCTGGTCTCAAACTCCTGACCTCACGTGATCCACCCACCTCAGCCTCAGGAAGTGTTGGGATTATAGGCATGAGCCACTGTGCCTGGCCAAGTTCATGTTTTAATGATGTTAGTTTATTTAGTTAGTTTCTTCCTATACAGCTGGGCCCTTCTCTTCATCACTATGCAGGTCTTCCTTTTCTTCACTTCTCACCCAACCTGATGCATAGAAATGGACCTCAGCTTGAACTTTTGGAACTGATGCTGTATAGTATAGATGGAAGAATGAGGAGTTTTCCCTTACAGGATGCAGCAGCCACACATAAGGCCATCTGCTCAGAAAACCTAGCAGTGGGTCCCCAACCTCTTCCTCATGGCCACGTTCCTCAGTCAACAAGCATTATTTGAAGTTTTGGTTACAATGTTTTCCATCACACCTGATTCTTCACACAGATTTTGGGAGAGCTTCCTGGAAGCCACAACCCACTGGAGTGAGGAATGCTAGGTGATCTAGTATCTCCATCCTGGCCTTGTAAAGTTTGGGTTGTTGGTTGGAATTAGTTCTTGCACACCAAGACTGCACAGAGCCAGCTAGCAGAGTGTGCAGGGCCTCTGAGCCAGTTCTGGGTGTGCTCCTTGTCCACCAGCCCTGCTCCAGCAGATTCTCCCTGACTAGCCAGCTATGAACTTTGCCAGTGTAGTTATTCTCTCTACTACCTCTCCCCTCTCCAAATGGTGTCTTCCTCTTCACAGCCACACTGCTCATAAAATAGATTTCCTCCCCCACCTTCTCCAAACCACCTTAGTCCAATTCCCACACCCACCACTTCTCTGAGGCTGCTGTAACTACAGCCATCAATGACCTGCTAATTGCTAATCCCAGTGGACACATTTCAGTGGTTGGAATCCTGCTGTGTTTGAAACAGTGATTACTGCTTCCTGTTCTCTTGAATTTGCAACACCAAATCCCATTCTATTTTCTTTCATGGGTTTCTTTTCTTCTACTTGCCCCTTAAATGTTGGCATTTTTTATATTACTGTGACCCATTTCTTCTGTCACTTATGCATTTTTCCCAAGTTGTCCTCTCCAATCCTAGAACATACCAGCCTTCAATATACTGATAATTCAAGATTCATATTCCAGCCCAGACTGCTGAAGTTCAGACCTGTATATCTAGCCACCTCCTGGACATCTCCATTTGCATAGATGAAGGAGCCTCTAAATCAATGTGTCCACAACCCAAGTTCATTCTGGCCTTTCCACTTGCTGCTGTTCCTCCACCTGAAATGTTTTTCTCACAGGCCCCGCGTGGCTCACTGCTCACTTCATTTATCCTCTCTGTTCAGTCAGCACCTTCCCCAAAAGTCCCCATATGTGCCTTTTCCTTCCCTGGCTTTATTTCTCTTCAGATCATATGTGTCTGAATCTATATAATATTTGTTACTTGTTTATTGTTTGCGCCTCACCCCCAACTAGAATGTAAGCTCTATTTATCTGTCTTGTTCACTATTATGTTTGAGCCAATTTCTGGTGTCCAAATATTAAGTGAGTGAATACACCATCCCCCACCCCCAGACTGATTTCTGTATGTTTTATCTTCATGGGTGACACCAGTCCCACCCTCAGTCACTCAGGTTGGAAATTTGGAGTTATACTAGAAACTTCTTTTACCATCACCACATCCTCACTTTCCCATATCCAACAGTCACCAGTTCCCGCCAGTTTTATCTCGTAATAATTTCTCAGATCTGTCTTCTATCTCTGTCCCTATGATCACCTTATTTCCAGCCATCAGACCTCTCTTCTGTCTTATTGCACCTCTTAATGTGCTTCCTGCCTCAGTTTTTAACCACCCAAATCCAGCCTCAATGGAAGCCAGAGTGGTCTTTCTAAAAAGCAGATGTGACCCTGCTGTTTTCCTATGTGAAACTCTTCAGTGGGCCCATTCAACTATGGGATCAAGTCTAAGCTCTTTAGCATGACACGTGAGAATATGGTGGAATAAGGTGGAATGAATCTGGTGGAATAAGGTGCACCCCTTGCGTTAGACTAACTGCAGGGTGTGCCCCACAGTTTCCTGCCTCCATTCTTAAGCTGTCCCCTCAGCCTAAAATGATTGTCTTTCCCCTCTGCCTTCCCCCTCCTGGTGGATTCTCCCTCATCATTCTTTTAAGCATCAGTTTTGGGGTCACCTAAACTCCCTGTGCTCTTTTGCATTTTCCTTAGCACTGTACCTATACTTAAAACATTATCTGCCAGCCAGGCACAGTGGCACATGCCTATAATCCCAGCAATTTGGGAAGCCAAGGCGGGTGGATCACGAGGTCAGGTGTTCGAGACCAGCCTGGCCAACATAGCGAAACCTCATCTCTACTAAAAATACGAAAAAAAAAAAAATAGCTGGGTGTGGTGGCAGGCGCCTGTAATCCCAGCTACTCGGGAGGCTGAGGAAGGAGAATTGCTTGAACCTGGGAAGTGGAGGTTGCAGTGAGCCGAGATCGCGCCACTGCACTCCAGCCCAGGTGACAGTACGAGACTCTATCTCAAAAAACAAAAAACAAACAAACAAACAAACAAACATTATCTGCCATGTGTCTGCCTCCTTCATTAGATCAGATTGGAACTCACTGAGGGAAAGGACTGTGTATTATTTATCTTTTTATTCTCTTCATCTAACTCCATGACTGAAACATAGTGAGGATTTGATAAACGTTTGAATAAATGAAAGAATAATGAATGACCCATCGAGATAGATTTCTGGCTGAATTCTGGTCATTGTCATCAAGTTATGGCATAAAATTACATTTCCAAAATCTGAAAAATATTAGTGTAATCTGCAAAATGTGAATTCATTATGTGCTGTGTGTTACTGAACATTGCATTGTTGCTTTTCAGCAAGTGCTCATGTCTTACTTTCCCTGTTGTCCTATTAAGTTCAAAAGTCGACTTAACAAAATCTAAACAGAAAAAAGAGAATGGGGGAATAGGAACAAGAGAAGATTACATCCATTTTTTTTTGTCTTATGAATTTGAAGCATTTTCTCAAATGTGAAGAAAAGGGCACTTTTTCAGCAGTAAAGTAATTGTGTTTTTATTATAAAGTGTATTATGTTAGGCATGTGGGCAATATGACTCAATGAATAGTTCTTCAGGATTAGTGTATGCCTAGTTGAAACTTAATGCTCTTTCCCTCAGCATGCATGTAGGATCTGAATTTTCACTGTGAAAGCAAATGCTCCTGTTGGAGACCTTTATCATCAACTTGTTGGAATTCATGCCTAGAATATTTTAAGTTGAACAATTCTATCACAGTGGCATGCATAGATTGCTGAGAAAGGCACAGTGCTAATGATGCTGTAGACATCTTAAAAGCTAGGAATGCTCCATGTAATGTAGATGGCAGAGAAAATGAAGTGTGCCAGTCTGTTTTCTGTTGCTTATAACAAAATATCTGAAACTGAGTAATTTCTAAAGAAAAGGAATTTATTTTTTACAGTTATAGAGGCTGGAAAGTCCAAGGTTGAGAGGTCACATATGATGAGAATCTTCTTGCCAGTGGGAACTTTCTGAAGAGTCCCAAGGTGGTGTAAGGACCCAGAAATTTCTGATCTTCTTCTACATCTAATTGCCCTGGGTCGAGGCAGGGTATCACAGGGCAAGGGGGCTGAGCATGCTAATGTGTTAGCTCAGGCCTCTCTTCTTCTTATAAAGCAATCACTTCCCCTCCCATGATAACCTATTAATCCATTAGCCCATTAATCCATAAATAACAAATTCATTCATGAAGACAGAGCCCATATCATCCAATCACCTCTTTTAAAGGCCCCCACCTCTCAATACTACCAGATTGGTGATTAAGTTTCAACATGAGTTTTGGAGGAGACATTCAAACCATAGCAACCAATCCCAAACTGAGGTAAGTGAAGCTGCACAGTGGTTTTAAAACTGTTTTACTGAGCCCTAAGATTCTGCAACATTGTCTTGGGGCCACCTACAGGTGGACTTAAGAAGTGAAACTGAAGCTGCCCCTCATTCCCACTGCAAAGAGCAGTAACTCTGGTACCTGGTTTAAAGAGGGTGGTTCTTTATTACATTTTACTTGATATTTGACTTGATTTAGTTGAATATAACTGTTGTTGTGTTCTATAATACGGAGAAAATTTTGAATGAATAAAACTAGGTATAGTTTTAAGTAGCAAGATTCCGAGTAGCTTAAGAGGATTAAAAAACAAGGAAGATATTTTAGATTCTCACATTCTAATTCTTACAAGTGGAGAAGAAGGGGAGACTGCGTTAACTTGGAAACTAATACTGATGAGCACAAATGTAAAGGGTTATGAGCACACAAATGAAGGGTCCATGCACTACACCTAGGAACTTTAAGGAGGCATATTCTGTGAAGATATTTTCAGGAGTGCTGATACCCAGAAAGAATTGGTGTTTTGGAAACATCTAGAGAATAGTCAAAAATGTATGTTAATTTATGTTTGAATCAGGAAGGAAGATATCTCTCTGCCTAGGGAGAGGGAGTAATGATAACAGATGCCAGAAAACATCCAACAGAGGCAGGAGCAATGCCAGCAGATAAAGTTGGGGAGCTGGCCCAGTTCTCAACAGTGGAGGGTATGTGGACCCTAGAAACTCAAGGCTTGTGAGCTTGGTGTCCATCTCTGGCAAAGTCCTAAGCCAATTTAGCAGATGGTTTGAGAGCACTAAGGAAAGATGCTGGAGAGTTAGCTTAGTAAAACAAAGTCTTGGTAAACTTCCATGCTTCTCTTATTGATAGAGTCTGTCTTGACTTCAGCAATATTTTTATTGGGCAGTTTATGATAACCAATATGTCTTTTTTTCCGTTGAGAACAAAAAAACTGACTCAAGGAAAGAATAGGAGGGGTGAAGCTCATGCCAGAGAAGCAGGAAGATACTTCCTTATGGGCAGCTTGATGGAGCCACATAGAATCTGCTTAAGGCAGCGGGAAGCTTAGATAATCTACCAGCTCTAGGTGCAGAGTGTCCCCTAATACTGCATTTCCCCAACTGAGAACCATGACCACCTCCCGCCTTCAGAGATACTTTGGGGTATTTATTTAAAATGCCCCATCCAGAATCATGATCTCTGGAGGCATAGCCCAGGAATCTATACTTTTAACAAGCTTCCCAAATACTTACCAAGCACATATAAATTTTAGAACCGTTGCTTCAAAGATAAGATTATTTGCTGTGAGGAAAGCTACCCAGTTAGAGAAACAGAGAAAGTCTTTAGTTGTTTCATAAGCAGGTTCATTTTTTATATATGATTGTGACCCAGAAATTTCTGATCTTCCTCTACATCTAATTGCCCTGGGTCAAGCCCAACCCAAATGCCATCTGGTGACAGCCACTTATGCTGCAAAAGCAGAGCTGATGAGGCAAATCTTTTGAGCAGTAAAATGGGATTTTGCATCAGGTAAAGACCTTAGGTGAAGAGCAATGAGGCATACTGAAAGAAACTTAGTTCTACACAATTCCTTGAGAAACTCAGTCTCCATGCTGCCTGGATTGGGGGCAGGGATGTATCAGTACATCTGTAAACAACTAATTCTCCAGAATAGAAAAGGTATGCATAAATATACACGCATACGTTTATTTTAAGTGTTACTCATATAAATGCTGTGCGGTGCACAATTCATAATAAAATACACATTGCATTTTATTGATTACATTACAATTGATTCTCACAGAATGCTTTTCTTGATTTTTGTCAAACTCCTGTATCCATAGCAACCTTAGGTTGCAGCTGACAAATGAGTGTAGGCCCAACAAGCCTGTTGGTTGATAGCTTCATTTATATGAACAAGTAAGAGGAAAGTAAAACAATGACACATGTCAGAACTTCACTTATTCATCAATAATCTGAGCAACTTCTTGAATCAGATAATAGTTTTTTAATATTGGAAGAATATGTCCTCAATATTTTGTGCTGTTTACAAAGTAATGTCTACAGACAAGACACACTTTTCATCTGTTATTTACATTTTCTCCAGCACTATCGTAAGACTTTCATAAAACGTCACTTTCAGAAGACCTTAACAAAATAATAAATAAAACCTTGGTTTGTGGTGTTTGCAAGTTTTGTGGTATAAGTGCTCCCAGCCTGGCTGTTTTCAAGCTACCAATAAGATATTGCTGACCGTGGAGCTGGGAAGAGATGTGCAGTAGTGCATCAATATCTGGTATTTCCAGGTGGAGAAGAAGGGATACTATAGATGTAAGTACTATAGATGTAAGTAAGATACTATAGACGTAAGTGGAGAAGAAGAAGATACTAGAGATGTAAGTAACACTGAGAGCATAGACAATAAATTGTAGTTAAATGAGTAGGAAATGATAACTTTTGAGAATCATCTTTGAATATCACCTTTGACTTTTGAATATTACCTTTGTTTTCAGCATAGTTTATTGAATTTTACATTTATATAATTTAGTTTTTCATGGTGGCTGTGTTTAATAATCAGCTCTCAAAATTCCTGAAAATTTAAGTTGATTCTTATGAGCTTCTGTGAGCTGAGTCTAATTCACTACTGAATGGGCAGATTTTCTGAACTCACAGATATGTGACGGGGTTATATCCCTGCTTTTATGCAGGAGCATATGTATGATACTCAGGCACATTTCTATATTTGCATACAAATGCAGCTCCTCTAAACCAGAGCATAACAGTATCATGTCTGACAAATGTGTCCTGCCCCTGGGCATCACAATGAGAGGAATTCCTAAACAGATGAGATCAGATCCAATAGAACAGGTTTCCTCTGTCATGTCTGGGAAACTATTTATGACTCATACTCTTTGCCAGCTCTGTGTTTTGCATCAGTAGATATTCTGACATGTAAAGGTACCCCTCTCATGTTGCATCCTACTGATTTCAGCAAAACTGTTTTTGATACCTTGACACTTTCTACAAGCCCTTCAGAATACAGTGATGTTATGATATTACTGCTTTTTACATTTCCACTTCCTTTCTTCTACACCTGTTCTGTAAAAGGGTATTCAGTTTGCAATTAAAATTCGATGGCAGCCTAGCTGTGGCCATGAGAGTAGATTTTTGGAGCCATTTACACAAAGCCAGATATAGAATTTATTTGATGTGTAAAAATTTTTGGAGCTGAAAGTTTGAGACTATCTGCCACATAGAAAGATATGAGGATTTGAGCCACCACTTTTGTGTAAATTCTTATTAAAAACAGACAGTGCTGTGCAAGGTTGTTTCTTGGATAGAATTTTTGGATGGTAATAGAATAAGCTATATACTTCTAGTGCACAATTATTTTCTCTCTTCCTGTTTTCTCGCTGTTATGCTTGTAAGCAAATTGTTAAATAAGTTCATTCTGCTCCCCAAGAGCATTTCCAGAAGTGTCTTGGAACTTCCCACTGTAGGTACCTGGGCTCTATCAGTATTTTCTGTACTGACCTTTGTAATTATGACACAGGGGATACTTAAACAGGACTTTGCTTGCCAAACAAATATAAACACAAAATTGCTTTAAGTTGCTAACTGTTCTTCCTGCTGTGGACATTGGCCATGACCCAGCAACTTGGCTGCTATTTCAGCCATAAGAGATTTTCTGTAGGTCCTCAAATACTATCTCAAGTAAAAATTCTTATGGAGTCCACTCATTCCAGGTTAGGGTAAGAAAACTTTTCTCCTAATAATGTAATAAAATTTTACTTTATAAAATGAAAATAAGCAACATTCTTTCATATTATAAAGAACATAACATAAAACCAAATAATCTTTTGGCTGAGAGGAAATGCCAAACCCATTTCAGAACATTTATGTTATTTTTCCATGCTCTCTTCAAGCCAAGTTGATTGCATACAAATCTCCTAAGGGGATGTGCAACTGATTCCATGGTCCTGGCTCAGGGCAAAAAAAATGGAACCATGACTGAGGGGTTTTATAAAATATCCTTTGCCCAGGTAAATATGGAGGTGTGAGTTCACAGAGACAGTCAGGTAGACAGATGTCAGGTTAGGAACTCCAGGCTCCAAGGTGCTGATGACCAGCAGTACCTAATTACAGCTCCTCTAGTGTGCACCTCTCTGAGTACTGTGTGCACGCTTGCCAGCCTAGAGGTGTCTTCAGTGGCCATCGGGGTCCTCCAACCTGGAGTAGCCTGTAGGCAGCATGGTGGGAAGTCCCTGAGAGGAGAAACATTCTTAGGTGCTGTCCTGTGCTTTCTGGCAGTTGTTTCCCTTGAGACACAGCCCCTTTTGATCCCTTTATGGATCCCTGTGAGTCAGAATTTGGAATGTTTCAGCCTCCTAATTTAAAGCATGTTTTCTTTAAATTACATTTAACTTCTCTACATTTTATAATTTTTAATAATAATTATCCAAGTAATATATGCACCGTGTTAAAACACACACACACACACGCACACACACACACACACATTACCAAAGGAGAGAGAGAAACAGAGATTGAGAGAGAGAGAGAGAAAGCTTTAATTTAGAATGGACCTGTGGGTCCACTCCCAGAGGCAACCATTTTTATTTACCCTTTTCTAGTTTTAGGTTTCTGATAATTCCCACTATTCTGTAAATAATGTACTTTAATTTTTGGTTTACCAACTTTAGATTATATATGTATGTGTGTGTATATATATATATATATACACACACACACACACACAGCCTAACATATATATTTATATATATGTTATATATGTTAAGCTGAATACTTACTAAGAAGCAGCTATTTTTGCTCCCAAACTGAATCAAATGCTTTGTAAGACTCAGTGAAGTTATTTTTAAAAATGCTGGTAAATTAGGATGGAGAAAAACTGTGAAAGATTGAAGACAGTGGTAAAAACCTAGAAGGATTTTCTTCTCAGATTGCTCCACAAATATTTTTAATTTCTTATTCTACTTTAAGGAAATGCAAGTTGAACACACAGACAAAACTGCATTATGGGTATTTTTTTATGTAAAAAGCCAACACAAAAATATAATCAGAGGACCCATATTCAAAGAAAAGAACATTACCCTTTGTCAAAAGCTCAGTTAATGTTTTCAGTAAAAATAAAATATTTACATTAAAATAAAATAAGGTTTAAGCGGAGGCAGTTTTTGGTTTAACTGACTTTTTCAATTAACTGATCCCAATCGCATTAGCCAAGAAGACTTTTTAATATTAGAGTACAGTGGTTAAGAGTAGCCTTCAGCAAATTATTTCACCTTTCTGTGCCTAGATTCTTTATCTGTTAATTTGTAGTAATCATGGGTTTTCATGATAATCAATGAATTGCCTTATCACATCATTGACACTTGTTAGGAACTCGAATGTGGAGCTATTGTTATTGCTATTACAATATTGTAATTTTGTAAAAAAATTAGTAACTACCCAGCCTTGAAGTGTGATTGGACCCTCCAAAAAGGCAACACAGTTTTATGCTAATCTCTTGCCACTTGAAGATTTCTGTTCCTTGCATCTAAAGTCTTCACTTATCTCCATCAATTATTCAAAATCTTGTCATGTTCTAATTGACTTGGTATTTGGCTATTAACTTTCCTTTATGGTATTATGTGTTTCTTAGGCTATTTTATAAGATTTTGTATCATAAAATACTTAGGATATTTCATAAACAAGGAAAGCATCTTTTAAATAAAAGCGTATTTCTTCACTATATTGTTAAGTATATCCAGCCTCTTGATCATACATTTTGCATTGAGAAGCCAACTTTCTTATTTTTGACAGTATTCTTCTAGAAAGATACTCTTTAAACCTGCACAGAGCTGAGCCTCAAGTTACTGCCACTTGAAGGTTAGGTACATTAGTTTCCCTACTTTCTCTTTCTTGAATTCCTTTTTCCTTAATTAGTTGGAGTACATTCTCAAGTAAATTTTTCAAAAGAGAAACATGGTATGTAAATGTTGAGCCCTTTACATTTCTAAAAATGCTCTTATTTTGTCCTGATATTAAATAGTGATTTGGCTAAGCATACATTCTACAATGAAAATCATGTTCTCTTAGTATATTAAAGGGATTGTTTCATAGGCTTCTAGCATTCTAGATTCCTTAAGAGAAGTCTGAAGGCAGTCTGCTTCTAGATCTCTTTATAGTCTTCTCTCTCACCTTGAAGTTCTGATATTTCATAGCAGTGTGTCTGGGTGTGCTCTCTTTTTCATTCATCTTTCTCAGCATTTCCTAGGACAGTTAATAAAAACAAGATGTCTTTCATTCTGGGAAATGTTATTTTTTTTGCCAATTTCTTCCCCTCCATTGTCTGTTTTCTCTTCAGGGAGCCTTCTAGGTTAGTCTTCTATGTTTACTTGCTCCTTTATTGCTTTATCTCTCTTTGCTTCATATTCTTAGTGTCTTCAAAGACAAAAGTTTACCTCAGAGTACTTTAGTATGGGTGAACCTTTTGCTCCCTCCCCTACTTCTCCATAATTTTTTCTCTTTACAAGACACATTCACCATTATTTTTCACCCACTCTATCACCTAACTATGGAGTTTGGGCATTGAGAAACAAACAAACAAAAACTCAGCATGAGTTTACCTGGACCATTGGGCTTTATTTCCACCTCCCTAAGACACCGAGCTATCCCTAGTACCTATTTCATAGGAATTTGGGAGCTAAAGATGAGGCAGGATTCTTTCTCCTTTCCATGACTGTATTAGTCTGTTCTCATGCTGCTGTGAAGAAATACCCAAGACTGGGTTATTTATAAGGGGAAGAAGTTTAATTGACTCACAGTTCCACAGGGCTGGGGAGGCCTCAGGAAACTTACAATCATGGCAGAAAGGGAAGCAAACGTGTCCTTCTTCACATGGAAGCAGCAAGAAGAAGTGCAGAGTAAAGCAAGAGAAAAGTCCTTTATAAAACCATCAGATCTTCTGAGAACCCACTATCATGAGAACAGCATGGAGGTAACTGCCCCATAATTCAATTACCTCCCACCAGTCCCTCCCATGACACATGGGGATTATGGGAACTATGATTCAAGATGAGATTTGGGTGGGGACACAGAGCCAAACCATATCATTCCAACCCTGGCCCCTCCCAAATCTCATGGCCTCATATTTCAAAACACAATCATGCCCTTCCAACAGTTCCCTAAAATCTTAACTCATTCCAGCATTAACCCAAAAGTCCAAGTCCAAATCTCATCTGAGACAAAGCAAGTCCCTTCTGCCTTTGAGCCTGTAAAATCTAAAGCAAGTTAGTGACTTGCTAGATACAATGGGGTCCAGGCATTGGGAAAATACACCCATTTCAAATGGGAGAAATTGGCCAAAACAAAGGGGCTACAGGCCCTATGCAAGTCTGAAATCCAACAGGGCTGTCATTAAACCTTAAAGTTCCAAAATGATCTTATTTAACTCCATATTTCACAGGTCATGCTGATGCAAGAGGTGGATTCCCACAGCCTTGGGAGCTCCACCCCTGTGGCTTTGCAGGGGACAGCCCCCTTCCTAGCTGCTTTCACGGGCAGGTGTTTAGTGCCTGTGGCTTTTCCAGGCACATGGTGCAAGCCATCAGAGGAGCTATCCTTCTGGGGTCTGGAGGATGGTGGCCCTCTTCTCACAGATCCACTAGGCAGTGTCCCAGTGGGGACTCTGTGTGAGGGCTTTAACCCCACATTTCCCTTCTGTACTTCCCTAGCAGAGGTTCTCCATGAGGGCTCCACCCCTGAAGCAAACTTCTGCCTGGACATGCAGACATTTCCATATATCCTCTGAAATCCCATGTCTTCTGCACACCCATAGGACCAACACCACATGGAAGCTGCCAAGGCTTGGGGCTGGCACCCTCTGAAGCAATGTCCTGAGCTATACCTTGGCCTCTTTTAGCCATGGCTGGAGCAGCTGAGATGCAGGGCACCAAGTCCTGAGGCTGCACACAGCAGGGGGGGCCCAGGACCTGGCCCAGGAAACCATTTTTCCCTCCCAGGCCTCAAGGCCTGTGATGGAAGGGACTGCCATAAAGGTCTCTGACATGCCTTGGAGACATTTTCCTCATTGTGTTCATGATTAACATTTGGCTTCTTGTTACTTACGCAAATTTCTGCAGCCAGCTTGAATTTCTCCCCAGAAAATGGCTTTTTCTTTTCTATCATATTGTCAGGCTGCAAATTTTCCAAACTTTTATGCTCTGCTTCCTCTTGAACACTTCGCCACTTAGATGTTTATTCCACCAGATACCCTAAATTATCTCTTTCTAGTTCAAAGTTCCAGAGCTTTCTGGGGCAGGGGCAAAATGCTGCCAGTCTCTTTGCATAGCAAGAGTGATCTTTACTCCAGTTTCCAACAAGTTCCCCGTCTCTATCTAAGACCACCTCAGCCTGGACTTCATTGTCCACATCACTATCAGCATTTTGGTCAAAACCATTCAACAAGTCTCCAGGAAGTTCCAAACTTTCCCACATCTTCCTGTCTTCTTCTGAGCCCTCCAAACTCTTCCAACTGCTGCCTGTTACCCAGTTCCAAAGTCGCTTTTATATTTTCACATATCTTTATAGCAGCACCTCACTCTCTGCGGTACCAATTTACCGTGATAGTCCATTCTCATGCTGCCATGAAGAAATACCCAAGACTGGGTAATTTATAAAGGAAAGAGGTTTAATTGACCCACAGTTCTGCAGGGCTGGGGAGGCCTCAGCAAACTTACAATCATGGCAGAAGGGGAAGCAACCACGCCTTTCTTCACATGGCAGCAGCAAGAAGTGCAGAGTGAAGGGGGGAAAAGCCCCTTATAAAACCATCGGATCTCTTGAGAACTCACTCTCTATCACAAGAACAGCATGGAGGTAACCACCCCCATGATTCAATTACTTCCCACTGGGTCACTCCCATGATATGTGGGGATTATGGGAACTACAATTCAACATAAGATTTGGGTGGGGACACAGAGCCAAACCATATCAATGCCCATATTAAATTAGTGGCTATTTTTATAAGTCCTTGAGTGAAAAGTTCAGAACCCTGACCAACATCAGTCTCAGCAATGTCTACTTCTTCTCAAGACAACATTAAGTAATAATTGGATATTATCACCCACACTGGTTTCTCAGCTCACTAGTGGTTGTGGTCTCTATCCTTAGTTATTCAAAGGCCACAGTAAAAATTGAGTTACTCACTATCTTAGAAGGCGAGAAGGCATTCTCTCATGCTGAAGTTTCTTACTCATAACCTGGCTATTGCGTCTTCCTCTTGAGATAATCTTCATCCCTTTTTTATGACATGATAAATAATGATGACTTTTAACTGCAACTTTTTCTTTCTTATTTTGGGACAATGAGATAATGGCTCTCTTCTAGCTTGTAACAAATTATGCAGCAGCAAACATCTAGGAATTCCCAAGACAATATGGAATTTATGAAAAGACAACCAAACACCTTATGTTTTTATTGTTTCCTTATTATATATTTATAAGTTTGCTGAAGGAAGTGGCATTATTTAAGCCCTGTGCACCATGTTTTCCAAGTGATAAATAGCAAGCTATGTGTTCCCAGTAGAGAGAAGCATCATAACGTCATGGCAGATGGCAGAGATGCTCCCTACACTTAGCTTTATAGGATTATCCAAGGGTCTTCTGACACAGACTCCTAGAGGCACAATAGTGGGAAATAAGTATGTAACTGTCAGGGGCCTGGGAAACCCTGGGAGGGACCCCAGACTCTTGAGGTGGAGGGGCAGTACTCCATAGAAGTACTTTGACAGAAGGGTTTGAAAGGGACTATGTACCTGGCTATTGTTGGTATTTGGTAAAACTATGGCATTATATGTATTTGTAAAAAAAAAAAAACTCTTCATCTACCTTCCCCTTCCTTAGTTGATTTTCTTCTCTTATATTTTTATGATAATGTCTCATCCTTTCTAATACCTCTTATTTCTGTTCCATTTATTATTATCTAACCCAAATATCTTTCAGAACATCACCCAAATGTCTTCCAGAACTTCATGCCCTTTTGGGCCTGATACATTAGCACTGGATATCTAGGCCTACTGGATCATTACCCCTTATCTGTCCACAGATAGGAAGGACCTCTGTCCTACTACTTCTTTTGTTTTCCTGTGAGTCCCCCATTGGGGATATGGTGGAGAATAACATCTTACATAAAATGAGCCATTTTTTTTGGCTTTGCTGTCTTTCATCTGAGCCTACTGCATTTGTCCTCCTTCTCATTTATACTTGTTCTTACTATTTCTGTCTCCTGATGCTGCTCCTGTTTTCTTTGCCTTGTTGTCTGCTAACCTCTGTTCTGTCCATAGACCACTGTCTGATCTCCCACTAGTGATGCAGCCTCAATTTCTTCCACTCTTTCAGGTGTGAGAACCCTGCTCTCTCTATGGCTGCTCTTTGGAGTCTTCATTATTCCTGTCTCCAGTGCTCACATTTCTGGTATTTAGGGAGGCACTTCTATCTCAAGCCCAGCTTTTTATAGAGAGTGTCTCATGGCAATGCTGCTTGGACCCCTGGTGATACAGGATGCTGATGGATGCCCAGAAAAGTGTGAAAAGTTCTGTGCATCCTCAGGAGAGCAAATTTCCATCTAGGGCCAGAGGATCTGGAAAATGTTAGTAAAACACCTATTTGTAGCCCTCTTTCCTGCCTCAGTCTCCAGAGCATCATTTGAGATGTGCTGCAGACTCCCCTCTTTCCTCAGTATTTGTTCAGGAGCTGCCTGAGCGCTCTGGCTCCTGTTCTTCCATATGTACCTTTGCAAGGCAAAGATCCTATCTAGGGACCAGATTTCAGTAAAATGAGACAACTTGGTTTATCATAGAAACAGAAAATAGACCAGTGGTTACCAGGGTCTGGAGGAGGGAGTTAGTATTTAATAGGTACAGAGTTTCAGCATGGGATGGTGAAAATGTTCTGGAGATGGATAGTGGATCACCACTACCACAGCACAACAGGATAAATGTAGTTAATTACCACTGAACTATACTTTAAAATGGTTAAAATGGTAAATTTGATGTTATGTATATTTTGCTACAATTTTTAAAAACATGAATAAAAAACTCTACTTGGTTTAAAGAGAAGTGAAGATTACAGAAATGTCTTAGGAAAAACAACACTGCCTGCTCATAGCTATAGCTCGGTCCACTGCCTGTTATGCAGAATTTCTGTAACTCAGAGAGGGCAGGCCTGAGGAGAACATTTTTGAAAAGAATTGGTATTCTTTGTATCTTCTAGTTTGATTTAAGAGTAAACTGTGTTGTAATCTTAAGTATTATTTTTCTTTATTGATCAATGATTTTTAGAACAATTACTACATTTCTTGGTCATATGGCATTGTTAATAATCACTCTAATGAGTAAATGCCAATTGCTATGCATGACTACTGATAAAAATTAACAATTTAGAAGAAGCCATCTTATTTTAGTAGCATGAATTATTTGCTAAAAGGAAATTGACTTCAAATCATATTATTTGTAGAAAGCTGACAGTTGAATACAAAGACACAATAGCTTATGCTTTTAACCAAATACTAATAGTCGAAACCTGACCATGCTTTCAGCACAGACAGATCCGTGATCTGGGGTGTAGAGGTGGGTTTCAGGTATAACAGTACAAGTAGTAAGGAGTTTTACATTGGAACAAAGTCTGTGCTTTTAACCACAGACAAGGGTTCAAGACAGACAAATGAGGAAAAAAATAGGGAAAATTTTGAACCAGGAGTCCACTCTCTATTCTGACACTAGGCAACCTTGTAGCTTGGAAGTATTTCTCAGGAGAGACTCTTTTAAAGTTAATATTGACCATAGAAGCAAGACTATTTGGAACTATCATCAGGCACTAAGAACTTCTGAAGATTCATTTCCCTGAAACAGTCTGGATGGGCCACTCCAGCCCCAGTTATATAATACCTCGATGAGCAGCAGCTCAATACAACATGTTGTGAGGTTAATTTAATACATGATGCTTGTCCCAGAACCAATGCTCCTTCTACTATACTGCTCTGCCTGCGTGGAGTCTTAAATGTTTAGAGAAGCATGAAACACTGTATCATTTTCAATCATGATGAAAATGTAATCTTAATGCCTATTGTATATGTATATATACTTAAACACACAGCTTCTTTGCCAATTCTTTTTCCTAAATCACATTTTTAGTGGAGTAAGGAATAGTTATAAAATAGAAATGTTATGTAGCTTAGAATTTTGTAACTCATTAAATTTGAGTTCCTCTGGTGTGGCAGGTATCTTGCTAAGTTGTAGGAGACACTTTAGAGATAGATTTTCTCACACAATTTGAGAATATGAGATCTGGAAGCCCCTTAATATATAAAAGCTCATCTCATTTTGTATGTTAGGAAACAACTCAGTCTACAGTGAATCATTCTGAGTCCCAGTGGAAACGGGTGATAGTCAAACTAGGTAATTTGAGGAGAGTTTAGTACAGGAACATATAACAAAGATATGGTCAGGATTCAAGGAAAGGATCAAAGGATAGTGCAATACTCCAGGGCTAGTAATAGTAGGGAGCCATTGCTATCCACAGGCCTGAAAGAACCCAAAAAAAAGAGCTGTGGCTTTTAGTAGAGGGACACATGCAATGGGGTGACTTAGCGGGAAGAAAGTTGGAGGAATAAATGCTATAACTTCACTCATCTGCCACCCTCCAATATCCCTCTAGGGCCTCCTTTTGGTTGAACTCAACAGAATCCAAATGCAAAGGAATCCCTTATTATAGTCCATGTAGGTCAGCCTCACAGAGCCCAAAGCTGGGAAGAGAGTGGAGGAGAGTAGATTTGCAATGGTAAATGGAACTTCCATAGTTCCCTACTGAAAGACTTAAAATGCAAATGTTAGGACATGGTTTCAGTATTCATCAGATGTTGGAAGAGAGTCTTTGACTCTAAAGGGCAGCACATATAAATGCTGTGTTATTTGAGTACAGGATATTTTAAGTTTCTAATTTGAAAGAGAAAATATTGTTTTACAATCATAGAATTATAAACTGAAATGCCGAGAACCTGAGCAGCCTGCAGATACTCACACACAAAATACATTGGCCCATTGCTCCCAACAGCTCACCAGGACTCACCAGGGGCTCTGCTCCTTCTTTCAAGAACTATGAGAAGGCTCTAGGGAGTGTCTCACATGTGTTTAAAAACAAGTCTGCACCCAATCTCCAAGTCATTTTCTCATATATCCTGTGTCTTGCTCAACTGCTGTGCTCTGGGGAAAAAAAAAAAAATCTCCTCGTGTAACTCTCTTCATGCCAACAGAAGCCTGGAAGTCTTCTGCCCATACCAACATAAGTACAGCTAGCAGACAGCATGTATGCAGTTCTGCTCTCTAAACACATGCATGGCCATGTGTTTAAGGATCAAGGCCTTGTCCTGAAGGTGTCCAGCTATACCTGAGGAAGGCCAGGAAGGGAAGTGTGCCTAATCCTGGGGTTTGGAGCAAGGACAAACATCCCAATATTGCACCATGCCTTGTGTAGGAAGGTGAAGGTCAAATAGAAGGGAGAGGCAAGACTGAGTGTGGCTTTCCAATCAATCAAAAAACTCACTTCTTGGAATGGAGAAGTGAGGGGTGAGAGAAGTGAGCAGGAGCATTTAGGGAAAAGTCACTTCTCATGGAAGGCAAAAATGGGAAGAAACTTTCCCACATTATATATTGCTTTATGAGATTTTTCTAAATGCTCATTCACAAAGGTGATTATAAGCAGCCTTTTGGTCTTGTTCCACAGGGTAGATGAGAGGTTAAAACATGAATTTGATCAAAGCAAGACAAGATCTGGCCAAGGAAATGACATCCACTGAAGAAGTGTGGAAAAGGGTCCTGTGGGAAGTGTAAAGATTTGAGCCAATACAGTAGTGCCAAGCTTAAAAAGAATTTCAGCCAACACTATGAAAGCACTGTGACAGGTTTTATACAGATGCAAGTGCATAGCCAGGCTAGGAGGAATCTCTTCCCCCATTGTAAAGGTGAGAAATGGCCCAGGAGAGGGTGCAGGCGGCCCAAAGTCTCACAGCAGGCCACAAAGCTGGTCTCCATTTCCTGAATCCCATTCCCCTCCAACTCCACACAGCCCTACAGGGCAGGTTGGGATCCCACTTCCTGTGGACACACCAGAGGGTTGTTGACCTCTTTGGCCTGTCCCCAGTCCCTACATGTTTTTGAGTTTCGTTTCACAGTTCTTTTCAGCAAAAAGTCTCAATGGTCTAAAACTCTGCACATCAGATTTTCTGTAATTTCACAAGAATCCTAGCACATCTGAGTGTTTCCATTTACACTGCACAGGCCAGAATCCAATGGTGTAGAAAACATTGTAGATTTTGCAAGCACTTCCAATTATGTGGGTGTAAAATATTTTTAAGTAGATTTTCCCCCAATTAAATAATTTCTGGAGCAATCGAGTAAAAAGAAAGCAGAAACCCAGTAGCAAACCTAATAATGATTCCTGAACCTTCCTGTTAGGCAGCAAGTGGGGACTCAGGTGCAACAGGGTTATGGACACAAGAACTTAAATCTGGCTCTTAGGGTATATGGCTCCAGGCTGTCAGTGTCTAGCTTCAGCACCCCTGCCCCATCCGGGCAATGCAGGGGTGGTGATGCCAGTGTGAAGAGGAACTGGTCACGCTGATGAGACAGCACTTTGCAAATAGAAGGTATAACAGAAAGTGTTCTCTCAATGCTAATTTTAGGCCAGCTCCTTAGTTAACATAGGCAGAATCATCTGGGCAGCCTTCTGAGGAAGGAATCAGAGAGCCAGAAACAGTCATATTTCAGATGTTCTTCCCTCTGTGTCAGTCACAAAAAAAAATTGCATTTAATGCCATTTGCCAATTTCCATGTTCCAATTCATTTTACTAGCCCTCAAACTTCTTATATTTAAGGCAGCAGAGTGCTCTGTTTACCTGGCTCAGTGTCTTAAAAATGGTATGGCCCTGCAGACCCAAGTTAATGCTCCTTAATCCTTGCAATTTTCACCATGAATCAGAGCTAAGAGAGCCACATACATGTCTGCTGCAAGAATGAAAAGCAGGAATGGCCCTAAGTTTTAGCCTTCAGTTAATTAGTACTCACTGACTTATGGTCACTAATGAGAAGTATTATAGTGGTTTTCGTCTTAGATACAGACATTGTTGTGTACTGCAAGTCATATGGCAGTTTCAGAAGAACCACATAATATGAGAGCTATGCCCAAACCTGTTGTGATAGAGGAAGATCACTGAGGGGCAGTGACCCAAGGTCACAAAATATAAATGATGGCAAAGCTGGTCTTAGGTCACTTGGAATATACAAGCTGTTTCCCAGGGACACCATGTAAAGCTCAGCAAGTTGTGCCCTGTGCAACTTGCATGGCCATAGAAAGAAGCCCTCACTTTCTCTTTCTCCTGCTGAAGTCTTTTGGCCCCATGACAGATGACCTGGGTTTTATATTTGTATAAGAGAAGTAGTAATAAGTAGGATTTGGCTCACTCCTCATCTATGGTGTCTAAGTCTATTTGGGCTACTATAACAGAATGCAATGGACTAGATGGCTTATAAACAGTAGAAAATTATTTCTCACAGTTCTGGAGACTGGAAAATTCAAAACCAAGGCACCAGCATATTTTCTGTGTCCTCATATGGTGGAAGGAGTGAGGGAACTCTCTTAAGTCTCTTTTATAAGGATGCTTATCCCATTCATGAGGGCTTCACCTTCATTACTTAATCATCTCCCAAAGGCTCCACCTCCTAATACCATTATATTGGATGTTGGGATCTCAACATATGAATTTGGGGGGGACACAAGCATTAAATCTATATCATTCCACTGCTAGCCACCCAAAATCTATGTCCTTCTTAACTGCAAACTACATTCATTACATCCCTAAAGCCCCAAAAGTTTTACCTCATTCCAGCATTAACTCTAAAGTCTAAAATCCAGTCTCATCTAAATATTATCTAAATTAAATATGGATGAGACTTAAAATATGATTTATCCTGAGGCAAATTGCTCTTCCAGCTGTGAACCTGTGAAACCAAACAAGTTATGTGCTTCCAAATACAATGGTGAAAAGGCATAGGATGGACATTTCCATTCCAAAATGGAGAAACAGAAAAGAAGAAAGAGGTAACAGGTCCTGGGTAAGTCCAAAGTATAAGGCAAACTCCATGAGGTCCTAAGGCTCAAAAATAATCCTCTTTGGCTTAATATTCTGCCCCCCAGGCTCACTGGGACTGAGGGCCTGCCTGGGGCTGTGGCTCTGCCCCAGCTGCTTTGCCACATGGCCCACACACCCACACATCTGGGCAGCCCTTTCCCCATGGTTCTCAGTTCAGTGGGGCCATTTGGCCTATTGAAAGGAAGACAATTGCCATCCCTTTTGAAACCAAGGAGGCAGCCCTGATGATCTGTGAGTCTTCTTCAGGATTCTTGATAAATAGTGAATGTTCTCAGCTGAATAGCATTGTGGTCCCATCCTGTAAAATCCAAATCTGACAGCCTTCCTTCGTTCCTTCTCTTTTCCTTCCCCTTTGGTTCAAATTGGCAGTTTCTCTGCTGGGGTGGATGATTAAGTTTGTGGTTCATACCTATACTAATCTCTTAAATAGTCAGTTGGCCACACTGTTAGTGTTCTCTTCCAAACGTGGGTTCTCATTTTTTGCAATGTGGATAGACTGAGAATTTTCTAAATCTACAAGTTCTCATTCTGTTTTGCTTAACAATTCTGTCTTTAAGTCATTCTGTCTTTCATTTTACTATAAGCAGCTAGGAGGAGCCAAGCTGCACCTTCAAAACTTTGGTTAGAAATAGCTTCAGCTAAATATCCCGTTTCATTGCTCCCAACTAAATATCCTGTTTCATTGCTCCCAAGTTCTACCTTACACAAAACAGCAGAACATAAACACAATTCAGCAAAGTTATTTGCCTTTTTATAACAAGGATCACCTTTCTTCCAGTTTCTAATAATATGTTCTTCATTCCTCTCTGAGACTTTATCAGAATGGTCTTTACTGTTCATATACTACCAACATTCTGGTCATGGGCACATAAGTATTCTGCAAGAAGCTTGAGGCTTTCTCTACAGCTCTCCTCTTTTCTTTCTGAGCCTGCACCAGAATTGCTCTTAATGGTCCATTCATGGCAGTGTAAGCTTTTTCAAGCATGCACCTCAAAATTCTTCCAGTTTCTACCCATTACATAATTTCAAAACTGCTTTCATATTTTAGGTATTTATTTGTTTCAACAGCACCCCCATTTCTTGGTATCAATTTCTGTGTCTTATGAAAAGGCCTCTCTGAACTCCATGTATTGGTTTATGTATGCCTGACTTCTAGGCTATAGTAGTACTCTATAAATTGCAACTAGCACTCTTGAAATTTTCTTGATTAGTAGTTCCTTGAGGGCAAGGATTCGTTTTATTTATTTTATATCCCTAATTCAATACTTAGCAAATATCAGGTACTCAATAGGAGCTCCTTCTCTTGTCCTCAGTAATTCAGTTCAATAAGCACCTTTTGAGCACCTGACATTGGTTTGATGCCAGGCCATTTTTTAAAGCTGCAGGAAGCCTCAGTATTTAGTAACCAAGGTGATTATTTATTTGCAATAAGTCTGATATGGAGCAGCCAAATCCTGAGATACCTCATGAAAAAAACAGAAACAATAACTTACATTCAGTGAGCACTTCTACCTTCCTAAATATTCACTAAACCCCTAAGAGATAGGTACTATTATTATCCCAATGTTACTTTGACAAGACAAGATACAGAAAATTTATCTATGGTTACACAATGTTAAAATGCATATCTTGACTGTATAATTCTATAACCTGTGTTTACAGCTACTGTGCTATGGTGCCTGAAGTATAATTAAATAACAATGTTTTGGCAATATTGCATTTCCCAGACAACTTAAGTTCAATCATTTAAACAAAAAGTATCTGATTTAAACTAGAATCTATTACATGCTTCTTATTCAAGATGTTGCAGGATCACCACTCAGGATGCCCTCTGGCCTGTTGAGGTGTGTATGGATCTAAGTTCTCCTTCACTGGATAATTCCAGAATGTTATGATGCTTGAACTCAACAATTTCTCCTCCTTCCTCTCCTCTTCTTCCTCCTTCTTCTTCCTGTGTCTCTTTCTTTTTATTTAAATATACTTTAATTTTTAGAGAAGTTTTAGTTTCACAGGAATATTATCTTTTTAAATTGCAAAAGAGAGACACATTCATTTTATAAAGTTTAAAAATACAGAAAATAAGATATTAAATAAAGGCTTTGTATTTACGTGAAAGGGATATTGATGAGGTAATTGTGGCATGAATTGTTCTGGATTATCAGTAAGATTTCATTGTGTTCATTCTTAATACAATGTTTCCTCATTGGTTCAGCAAAATCTGAAACACTTAACATCAGAGCTGTCTGGTCCCACCTGTTTCCACTCTCTAATTACATTACCACCTTCCCTACAAAGCACCATTGATATCCTCAAGTTCTCCATGGGCTGATTTTCTAACTAAATTTCCCAGTATTATATTTATTAGCCCTCCCCCTGACACACACACAATCATCTGAGGATCAGGAAAATGTCTTGTATTCTGAACCACGGTGTGTGTGTGTGTGTGTGTGTGTGTGAGAGAGAGAGAGAGACAGAGAGAGAGAGAGAGAGAGAGAGATCAGATTTATTCAGAGTTGAGATGCTTGCTAAAAATGGAGACTCTGGACCTCACCCAAGACATATTAAATAAGAATATCTAAGATTGAAGTCAGAGATTCTGCCTACCAAAATATGTTTTATTTTTACTTTCCATCAGGAAATTGACAAGCATATTTAAAAGTAGAGAGGTTAATATAATAAACTCCATGTACTCAAAACTCAGTTTCAACAATTATCAATTCATAGTCAATGTTATTTTACCTATAATGTGAAGCAAATTGTGACATATCATTTGACTATTTCTGTATGTATTTAGAACACATAACCACAATACAATTATCATACCTAAAATAATTAACAATAATCTCTAATATTATTACATTTTTAGTTCAAAACATTTCTTGTTTTGTCAATGTGTCTTAGTTGTATGGTGTTTTAAACCCAATCACGTAGCTGGTCCAGGCCGGACTGGCCCCTCTCTAGGCCTGTTGCTCAGCTCGCATGCTGGGACTTCCTTCCACCAGTCTTCCAACTTCAGTACAGTTTCTCATGTACACTGTGTTTTCTGCCTCATTTTAATCTCCTACATTCATCCTCAAGTAACTTGCTATGATAAATACATTGAAAATAATTTTTCTGACTTGTTTTGAAAGATGACTTTTTCAGCCCTCATGCTTTATTGATATCATGTTTGGGTATAGAATTCTAGTTTGAATGTAATTTTTTCTCAGAAGTTTGCAGGCATTATTCAATTATCTATGGTTTCTGGTGAAAATTCTGATGCCACTATGGTTCTAATTTCTTTGTTATTTTTTCAAATTCATTTTGTCTCTTAAGTTTTGTGACTTTCTCTAATCTTCATGTTTTGAAATTTCACAATAATGCAATTAAGGTAGTGATATTTTATTATAGATGCTCAGCGGACCCCTATCAAGTTGTCCTTCGGTTCTAGGGGACTTTGTTTTTTTCTTTGATGACTCTCACCTTCATTCTCTCATTCTCTCTGTCCTCACTTCTGGAAAATTTAAATATTAGACCTCCTGGATAAATACTCTACATATCATATCTTTCATTTAAATTTCCCAAGTCTCTGTTTTGTTTGGTTTTGTTTTTCTCGGTCTACGTTCAGGTACCTGTTCCTTGACTTTGCTTTCTATTTAATTTTTCTTTTATTTCACCAATCACATTATTTTACTTCTAGATCAGATTGGATCTCAAGGGTGTCTTTTTCTGGTTACTGCTGCAGTCACAATTCTCACCCTTGGTTGCTGTTTTATAAATCTCGGTACATGAATTAATTTGCCTCTTGCATTACTGTAATTCCTTTCATGTCAGGGGCCATTTATTCTGATGGCTCAGCTTGGTTACCTCTTTTGAGGTGTTGATTTGCCCATTTCTTCCATGGTTTTTCTTTTTTTGTCTGTTTATGTGTTCTTCCTGGCCCTTCACAGTTTAGGAAGACAACCAATTTTTCTCATCCATGTGAGTATGTGGGCTTAAATTTTTTACTTGTTGGCCAGTAATCACCGTCACTCTAATACAGGTCCACTTTTTTTTTAATGCTTGCAGGAATCCTCTAGTATTACAGGTGTCCAGCTGGAATGTCTGCTGGGTCTAAGGTGTCATGGGTGTCTTCTATCTGGTGTGCTAGGGATGTTGCTACAATGCATCACGTCTTATGGCTAGAGCTAATAGCCAGTAGAAGAGGTTTCTGACAAACAGGCGTGATTACAGGGCATCTATGCCACATCTTCCCTGGGAAGAATACACTCCATGCAGCTCTGGGTATAGTTTTATGCACGGTCACCCCCAAAACAGCAATACTTCTAGGGATTTGGATCAGAACTGGTTTGCCATTTGCCTCTTTTCTTCCTTGAGGGACTATCTGGCTATTACCTCAACTCTTGGATAAAAGCACTAATTATGCTATTCCTGTTCTTTAGAAAAATTATGTCACGACTATTTTTAATGTCATATATTTTTCAATTTTTAAAATGAGATATACCATAAATGACAATAATATATCTCATGAACACATGTAAAAATTAATAATAAAACAAATGGTCATGTTTCTACCACCTAACTTAAGAAATAACATCTTGTGATTCTAAGCTGATGCTCCCTCTCCATTTTTGGAGGTCATGGGTCTGAGGTGGGAAGTATGGCCTTAGTGATTCCAAAGTAGCTTTCTAGCACCTCTTTCTGAAAAAAACAAGAGAAAGGTAGAAATGTACTATCTAGAAGGCATACTCAGCTATTTCTAAACAGAAGTCTAGACAATTATGCTTGGTGTCTGGTGTGGCTGTGTAGGTCACTATTGGTGTTTCCTATAGGCATTTCTCTCTGGACCACTGCTAACTCACACAGCACCTTTGTGTAAATCAGAAAAAAAGCCACTCCTGCCATTTGCTACAATTTAAAAAATAACAATATGCACAACAATCTGTAATGACTATGACTGTAACTGGTGCCCCCTAGAGTTTACAGGCCACAACCCGCACAACCATAATTCAAGGTAGACGTAGCAGATAGTACAGGCCTCCTCAGATGGGCTTCATCACTTACTGAATGCCTATTGTGTGCCAGGAACTCTTTTAGATTCTTGGCAGTCAGTGTTGAGATGGACAAGATCTCTGCTCTTCTGGATCCCCCACGACTGGACTTCTGAGCAGGCTGTTTTGTGAGTGCATGAGCTGTAGTCAACTAACAGGCTGGAGTTGTTCTTAAACTGGGTCAGGGGTCCTATGGTTACTAGTTAAAGTGAGGCAGAACTTCAATTTACTTAGCATGCTATCTATGCCAAGTGAATCCTGAGAGGTCACGTTGTACTAAGCTGATGAGTTCAGAGGTCACATGGGGTTCTTAAGTTTATGATGACCCTACATCCTAATTTTCCCTGGACAATCCTAGGTTAAGTATCTTATCCCCATGTAATTATTAATATAACCCCTTTTCTCTCCTAAAAGTGTCCTAGCTTTGGACAGTAAATTATATGATCACACAAATTACCTTTTTTTTTTTTTCTGTGCCAACATCCCTTCAAAATCCTAGTGACTTAATACACTAAATATTTAGTTTTTGCTAATGGATCTGTGGATCAGCTGTAGCTTTGCCCCAGGTTGTCAGTCAAGTTTAAGTTTACTCCTTATTTTGGACTTTGGGCTAATGCCACAAGTCTTCTCATTATGGCAGTCAGGCTGGAAGATCAGCTCTTATCTGAGAGCTCTTTTCTCATGCAGAATGTGGGAGCACAAGGGACCTTTGCTTCAAGGTGGCATGGGCCATATTCACTCGTATTTCATTGGCCAGAGCAAGTCATATGCCCAAGACCAACACTGGGGATTGGGATTTATGCTTCTCCCTTGGAGAGGAGCCCTGTGATAGGGCAGAGTGACTAATAACACAGTTATCTCATCACATTCCTAAATCCTACGGCCTCCCAGTGTGCCCCTTCTCCAGCCTTTGCTGGTGGTGGTCTCCTAGCAGTGTCTGTGTCAGGACAGAGCTGAAGTGATTAACAGAATGTAGAGAAGAAGTTTTGTCTCCATTTAGACTACAGAATGTATTAAGAGATTTCACTGCTATGTGGAGCCTATTTTGTGTTGGAGAGGGCGGGGATTGATGTTTGCAGCCTGATTACCTGGGACAGGGTTTCCTCCTTCGTGGTCCCCCAGCACTATCACCCATCACAGAAGTCTGCACCAGCATATTGTCTACTCTCCTGTGTGAGCGGTCAGAACCAGGTGGACTCCGGGGTCAATCCATGCCCTCCCCACCTCATGTTGGGCTCTTTGAGGTATAGTTCCTAGCCCCTTTTACTTTGACCCCACTGACTCCACTCCCTATCCCCCATCCCTGCCTGTTGCTCTGCACCTGGGATTTTTAATTTTTATTTTCTCTCAGTCTCCCTTCATTTGCCTGTGTTAAATGTTCAACAGTAATTGGCTTTTCTTTTAAAACAATTCCAGATATTCCTCAAAGTTCCTGGTTAACTGATGAATTGATGATGCCCTTTCTTATTTTCCATTGCTTATCCCATTTCTGCGGGATTTGAGGAGACAAAAGTGAAAAAGATTTGCAGAGTTACCCATATTGAAACTTCAACCCCAGTATTTTCAAACAGAGATATAATATTGTTTCAGTAGAAGGTGAAGATTGATTGGGCGGCAAAGAGGAAGTATGTTAAATCCATCAACAGTCCTGGCAGCTGGCTTTCTTTTAAGAGCAATTTTTGATAAACAGTTTTATCAATTCACAAGAATGACCAAGTACCTTCAGAGTCATATTAAAAAGCAGGTGGGTGGTAGTTGTTCAGCTTGACTCAGTAGGTAAGTGACTTGCAGGAGGGGTTCCCATGCATGCTTCAGCAGAAATACAGCTTTGTCACAGATCATAGTATGTTGGCAGTGCTGTGCATAGTTGAAATTGTGAGTACTATTTAGAACTCACAATTAGTCATTTACTAATTTCTAATTTTCTCCTTCGTTAGAATATGAATCTGTGAAGACATGGCGTGCGCCTATCATGTTCCTCATTATATCTCTAGAGCTTAGCGTAGCACTTGGCATGTAGTAGGCATTCAGAAAACTTTGGTTGAAGCAATGCAAATATTAATGATGGGCAGTAGAGGCAAACCCTGGGGAGAATCCTTGGGGCTCCAGAGTGTAATGAAGCACTGTAATGACAGGCAGGGTTGTCCTTTAAAATAAGGATTTTACAGCCACCATAATGCCAGAAATGCATTCAGATTGATGCTCAGCCTCCTTGGTTCTACTGTAGCCTGGGGCAGAAGCCTGGAGGGGGTGAAATGTTTTGAACCTTAGGGGCATAGTCACTGGATACTGAACTGCCAAGACTTGCTGATGCCATGGGGCTGTGGTCCATGATCCATGTAGCAGATGCTGTCATTACCTGCCATGTCCCCTTACCACTTCATTGTGTGCCTGTTGACCTCCAGTGCAGCCTCTGCATTGATTTCAGTGTGGGATTTTCCTGGCCACTGAAGCTTACTTTGTTCATCTGGGCTGCAGGTTTCAAATGATGGGAATTTAATGCCCTTTGAGAAATGCCCTCTAATTAATAACTAAAGAGAGCTAATGTGTAATACCTTGGATCCCTTGCCACTTAGGTGGGGTATATCTGAGGTGTATTAAGCCTCCATAGCAGGTTTAACCTTTACTCCCTCACTGTAGGAACTGGCTTGATAATGTACCTTTTATTGGCTTCCTTTTCTGGATCACTTCTCCTGTGTTTCCTTCTCCTTCTAAATAATGCTTTTCCCTTTAATACTTGTTTTAGGGTATGCTACTGGGGAAACCCAAACTACAATATTCTATCCTGCGTCCTGAGGACTTATCACTGAGTGGGGGTTGTTCTTGAAGCTGCAAAATTCACAGAAGATTTGAGCTTCATTTTGCTTAGAACCTTAAAAGTTAATAGGAAAAATAGAACCAAAAAAGCACTCTAGTTTCTCGTATTTTAAAAAGTTATGACTTACACAATTCCCCAATTATATTATACAGCTCTCTGAGATGACAGAATAATTGTTAAGGACATTTGAAACTGCCCTGCTCAAAAAACATTAATGATTGGTGCTGCCTGTAGGATAGAGTCTCATTTAACTTGAAGGGCATTCTAGTCCCCATGAATATATCCATTTTCTTGCCATAGCAGGCTGTTTATTGTTTCTAAACATGGCTTGCATGCTATGGTACCTCCTCTGTGTTTCTGCTCACTGGTCCTCTGGTTTGTGTATGAATTCTCATTGTCACCGTCCCAGAATTAAGTAACCCAGCCATGCGCCCCAGCATGGCCTTCCGCAGTCGGCTCCCAAGGGATGAGTGGATGAGAGGGTCATTCTGCCCACGCTGTGCAATGGGTGGGCTTGAGGGGAATGACCACACTGACCTTTGATCTTTGCTTCTTTGCAGATATCTCAGTGAGCCTGCTGACCCTTGTGGTCACTGCCTGTGGTCTCGCTCTCTTTGGCGTGTCTCTCTTCGTATCTTGGAAACTCTGCTGGGTTCCGTGGCGAGAACGAGGCCTGCCCTCTGGTAGCAAAGACAACAACCAGGAGCCCCTTAACTACATGGACACAGAGACCAATGAGCAGGAGAACAGTGAGGACTTCCTAGATCCTCCCACGCCCTGCCCTGACTCCTCCATGAAGATCAGCCACACCTCCCCTGACATTCCCCTCTCCACCCAGACGGGGATCCAGGAGAACTGTGCCCATGGCGTCCGCGTGCAGCGCCAAGTCACAGAGCCAACCTCGTCGGCCCGGTCAGTAATGCCTTCTCCTTTCTGAATGCAAGGAAGGACCACCCCATTCCCCTCTCTGGCAACAATAGCACTGATAGGTCAAGGAGCCTGTAACCTTTTAGATTTCTGTTCTGTATCAGAGACATGAATATGGGAAAACTCCATGCTTCCTACGCCCTCCTTGGTCTCTACTTAGTTCATAAAAATAATAGTTAACATCATTAAGACAGCATGTGTGAAGTACTCTATAAGAACTTTATATTCATATTTTATTATAGCTCACAACTTAGCATGAAATGTATACTATTATCATTCTTATTTTACAGCAGAAGAAACTTAAGTCAAGGCGATTAAATTTTTTAAAAAGCTGTATATGTAAATACCCAGGTCAGGATTTGAACCCTGGCTCAACCAACACAAGAATCTGAGCTCTTAACCACCCTTCCCTGCTGCCCTCCTACTGCTTTAGAATTTATTCCCTGTGCATCTGACCTATCCTAACAGTCACACACAGGCTCTCTTCAGACTCCGCCGTGTGGCTGGAGGTCTTTGTCCGTCTCCAGCCTTTGGAAGGCTTACAGAGTACCGATACCTAGGTCACTCTCTTTTCATTGTCTGGATGCTTTATGCTCTTCAGCAGTAGAGAAATAATATAATGCAGTGAAAAAAGATGCGGTCTCTCAAGTCAAATGAATTGGCTTTACTTACATGTGTGACATTGAACAAATTACTTAAACTCCGTATCTGTCCATTTCCTCTTCTTCAAAAGAGGAGTAGATAGTACTGATTTGTAGGTGGTTTTAAGAATGAAATGATGACATGTGCTTGCACAGGTCTGGCACCTGGTAAATGTTCCAAAATGTGAGCTGCCATTTTGCTGTTAGTATTGCTATTATGGCCTCTCCCAAGGCTCAGATGTTGCACAAAAGTGTGTTTGAGGCTAAGCAGCCAGTTCTAAATCACTGGATATAAAAACTCATTTTTGATAAGATATTTCAGGAAAAGAGACTCAGGAAGCAGCTTTCTTTAGAATGAAAATATTGGCCTGAGTGATGGCCAGAGAAATAGCATGTGCTGTTATTTGGAAGGTATAAACACAATTTGGAGGTATTTTTTAAAAATATTTGCTGTTTGTTCTCCAGAAACAGAAATAAGACTTTACCCTTTTTATGTTAATCGAGTTTATCCTAGAGGCTCCACTCATTCTCATTAAGTGGGATGGAATATGCCAGTTTCTAATTTGATTGTTTCAGAAACTTATTTTAGCATCATTTTCAATTCTGAATCAAAGAGCCAAATCTAAAATATGCCTCTGTGAGGAGATGGGTAGTTGTCTGCCGTTTGATTTAGAAGAAATCCTCAGATTTTATCACTAGGATTTATCTTCAGATTTAAAACTTAAATATAACTAGAGCTCTATTTGATGCTGTCATAGAGTTCATGCAATGTGCAGACTTATAATAAAATCCTTTCAGTATTTCAATAGCTAAAGCCTTTTAGATAGAGTCTCCATTGAAATTTCCATTGAAATTGCCCCCTATTTGGTTCTACTCTGCATGTAACTTTTCTGGTCTGAGTTCCTCCAATATATGGTGGTAGTACTGTGATCTTGCTAGATTTGATCTGGGGACTCTGCCATAATTCTAACAAACTGATAGCAATGATGCCACTATAATTATCACAATATTTATACTGGGAAAGTATATAAATATACTGCATAGCAATAAGGATTTGCTTAAAAAATAACTGTTATCACTACTGATTTGTAGAAATTGGGTAGAAGGAAAAAAATTAAAAGGGAGAGTGAAGGAATTATCCCTGTAAAATGCACTTTGTGTTCAGATTTATTTTAGTTTTGAAGGCATGCAATTACATTATCTTTTCTGATGGCAAAAATCAAGTTTAGCAATATCTGAACTACTATAAGAAAACTACTCTTTTCTAGCTGCATTTGACCTAATACTGACAATTTGCATTTTTATGCATTTAAAACATTCATACCTAAGTTACTACTGACCTAGTTTTATGGGGTCTGTCTGGAAATATATATCCTTGTCTCAGGATCTCACCACAATAAGAGCAGTACATGGTCTTCTAATTCTTTGAGGATTGTGTTGCATCATGAGAAAATGCACACACACATACACACTTTTTGCTAACAAAAAGGAAAAAGAGAATGAAATTTCCTTTATGCCTCAAAGCATTTTTAACATTCTTCTTTAACATTTTCGATACCCATATTTGGGGAGGGGAAAGGTAAGCTTTGCTGAGAAAGCTCTAAACAGTCTGCTTTTCCAGTTACTGTTTCTTCTCTTTTCTTTCTCATTATGTTCTTTACTTTCTCCCTGCCGACACCGTCTTACTGCTTCCATCCTGCAGCCATTATCACCGTCTCAGGACAGCCATGATCACAGTCTCAGGGTTCCCAGTGCACGAAAGACACAGCCTCCATTTAAAGGTGTCTTCAGGATCCTTGTGATTGGCACAGTTTCTGTCACACCATTGACATCAAAAATCTCAACCTCACCTGGCCTCTTCGGCTTGGATGTGTTCTTGGATATGTTTGGCTGACACAGTGCCTTTTTGAAATGTCCTAAAGATGGGCTTTGTTTTATCTTCTAAGAATGTTTCTGGTCAGAATGACTTTCTGTTGTTCTTTCAAGATCAAGCATGTTCGGTGTCTAGTTTCTTCAGTGACTATTAGTACCATCCAAAATTCCTGTCAATTCTTTTTGATTTGAATGAAGTCCCTTTTGTACAGTGACTCAATATGCTGGAAATGTGGATGTTTCAATTTTCTCAGAATTTTTTAATTCCAGAGCTTTATAAAGTTCTCTACTCCAAATGTATGAAAATCCCTGGATCCCCAAAATAGAAGGAACCTTGAAAGGCCATCTAATCCATTTCCTGATTCATGTCCTAAGATGAAAGTTCATCCTATTTTTCTCAAGCCTTCTCAAATGTCTTATGTAACACTTCAGTTTTTCAAAAATTTCAATTACCACACCACAAACCCCTTATCAGGTCTATTAAGGCCCTGCATTTTAATACTGCCACAGTCTGCTTCCAACAGCCTCACCTTATGGCCAAGGCCACCATGTTGCAGAACCCTAGGGGACTATTTTAACATGAACTCAATAGGAGACTGCCTGGAAGAAGCTTGTTGTACTGCAGCTGCACTAGCCTCTCTCTTAGTTCCTTCAGCATCCCAAGCCCCTTCCTGCCTTGAGGTCTTCACACGTTGTTCCCTCAGCCAGGAATGCTTTTCCTTTTTTTGTCCTTCTTGGGACCTTTACTTCCCTTACACCCTAGCTGAAACATCACCTTCTCAGAAAGTTCTCCCCGGCCACTCCATCTGAAGTCTGTGTTCTGTCCCCCACTCCTTCCCACTTTAATTCTCCCTCGCATTGCCTTGTTTTCATGCCTTCACAGGATTAAATTATTTTAAGTGATTCTTTATTGCTTGTACTCCCCTCTAGACTGAGTTCTGTGAGCTCAGAGACCACATCTGTTTTGTTTCTTCCTGTCTATCCAGCCCCTAGCACCACCTGGCACATGGAGGACTTTTTTCCATGAATGACTGACAGAATACATTGGTCAATATCAGGCCACTTTTCTCATGCTCTTCTGACAAGAATGACAAAGGGCCAGAAGTATAAACTGAGCAGAGCCTGTAATAATGGTGTGAGGCTGGCGGAAGGCCATTTGTCCCAGGTCTCACATTCATTAAGAGCCCCACATTAGGTTTTTGACCTTACCTCTGAATTAAGCAATCCGTAGAGTTACAGAAATATGCTGACAGAATTGAAAGAGGAAGATAACCATCACACTCTAAATTTAGGTCCCATGACTGGCCACAACTCAAGTAAATAGTACACAAAAATTGAATGTAATTATACTATGAGTAGCACATTTCTATTAAGTTATATTTTTGTGTGGTGAGAACATTGGTTCAATGTAAACATCTAAAACATAATTTTTGAATTATAGTTATTTCTTCAGATTTAAATTAACTGCTTCAAAAGTGGAAGTTGCCTAGACCTATCTCAACTTCCACGAGACCCCGAAATGATATGTAAATGAGTGTTTTCTCTACTGGGATTAAATTATCAGAAACTATTATATCCATAGCATTTCTATATTTACTCTAGACACAGATATCAAGCATTTGCTATGGCAAAATTCAATATTAGGTGGTGGCAATAAAGAGAGAAAAAATATATAACCATGCCCACAAAAGACCCACAGCAAGAGCACCAATTATACACACTGAAGTGCTCAATTTGTTCTTTAGAAGATTAATCTGGAAAGAATGCATAAGATGCATGGGACAGTGGTGAAGATTGGATGTATACAGGGGCCTGTCTGAGGGCCTGAACTCAGCTAGGATCAATGGGAATGAAAAGAGACATAAGACGTGAGCTACTGTAGAGAAAGTTTTGGTGAACAAAGGCTCATCTTAGTTATGGAGGATAAAGTATTCAAGGTTTCAAATCCGTTTAACTTTGGAGGGAGTGGGAGGAAGCAGGTCTTGCCTCAGTGTATCCACCTACCCTTGACAACACACCTCCACTGGCCCCAAGGCCTGATGCCTGTCTCGTCATTATCTCACTTATGCTGGAAACCCTTGAATCTTCAGCCCAAGAAAGCCTCAGATTTTCACTTCCTCCTGCCCTTGTAGTCTACTAACTGTGTCTGTCCCTATCCAGGATTTCCCCTTCTTCTGTGTCTGCCTGTGGTTCAGGAAAACCTAACTCTCTCTTCTTCATCACCAGGGGAGTTTTGAAGAAAAACATCCTGTCTCCACCATTTCCATAATTCCCTGCCTTGACTTGAACATAGGAAAGAAACCAGTAACATTTCTGAAACCACAATTTGCTTCTCTCTTTTTTCTCCTTGGATCCTGAAGCCTTGTAGACACTGGTGCCCGAGAACCAGGGAAAGGACAGGTCAGGTTTCACCTCTGAGGTGGGCCACTGCAGTGAAGGAACATATATTAGGGTGCACTTGTTCATGGCTTCACATGAAAGCCCGCGATGGAAGGGGTGTTGGGGATATGAGTGCTGGCTTGTACAGAGCCTGGACTCAGAGATGCAGTGGGTGTATATGAGGGACTCTAGAAAAAGCTGCTGGGGCAGAAGAGCTGAAAGTCCCATTCTGCTAGAGAGGTAGGACCAAGATGCAAATGGATTTAATGTCCTTATTGACGTCTACAGCATCCGCTTGAGGTGGCTAAGAATGAGGCCAAGTTAAGTAGGCAAGCCCAGCTCAAGTATCATCTCCTTCATAAAAGTTTCCTCAGCCAGAGGCCTTTCTCCCTCTCATCTTCTGGTGGGGGAACCATCTCATCACCCGCCTGGACAGCCATTTTCTTCAAGATGGTGACTACATTTTGCCTCTCTGCACCTTCCACCCCATTTGACACTGCTTTGCAAATTCGAATTTGTTGAATTGCCATTACGTCCTGTCTCTTAAGATCTGATCGACATAGTTGGCTTTTCGGGTGATAGTTTAGGGACTAACCTAGAGCTGGGACTAGTTAATTCACATCTGAGGAAAGGAAAGGAGGAGAAAACCTTGTACCTCTGGGATTCTGGCCTTTCCTGAACTATGGCTGCAACTCAGCACAAGACTCAGGTTTCTCCAGGCGTGAAAGTATGTTTTTGAGTTTGTTTTGGGAAATCTACTTTGCACATTTTGTTAATTATCTTTGAACTCAAGCTTTCCACAGGTTCAACTGCTATTCTTCCCACTTAGGTCTGGGGTAGCCAAGTCTAATCTTTATTTTCTCTTTGTTGTTTCTTCCATGAGAGGAAAACAGCTTTTGCCCACCCAGAGAGAGAATGGGAGGTGGATGAAGCTGAGAGTTCCAACCCCAGCAGCCAGCTTCTCTACGACAGCATTAGGGTGTGGCTTATTAGTAGAGGAGATCATCTCTCAACTTTCCTTCTGACCCACTGTCGTTGGGGTCCACTTTTTTTCATTCACTGTGCACATTAAGTCCTGAGAACACCAAAATACGGGACTCCCCAGACCTACTCAGAGGACTGTCTGCTTCAGTCACAGATCTCTCTTTGCCAAATTCCTACACTCCCTCAATGTCATTGTCCTTGTCAGTCAGTGGCTTTGAAATTCTAGACCCTTGCCCTGGGAGCCTCGCATTTACTGCACTCAAAACCACCTCCATTAACCATTTAGAGCCACCTCACCTGGGGTGGGGGAGGCTCAGGTAATGGCTCTATATTCCGTATCTTTCCTACCTCTTGCTTTGGGCTTGCGTTTTCTTCCCACCTCTGTTTGAGTAGCCTATGAGAACTATAGAATATTGATTTTCCATTTCCTCCACCCCCTCTTCTCCTTTACGCCCCTGGGGCAGTCTCCCTGCTCCACTTCCTTATTTTCAGCCCCCAGACCTCCAGAGGTTATACAGGGAGGTTATGAGTTACCCTGGTTCTCTGGCTCTTCTAAGCTTCTCTCTTCTTCCGTGCCTCTCCCCGAACTCCAGTAAACTCTAACTCTCTTCTGAATGGAAATTGAAAGAGATTGAAAGGGAGCCCCAGGAGTGAGAACCTGTCATGCCCAGTTACAGTCTTCGCTGTCTGCTTTAAGCCACTACCTTACAGTTAGATTCAACTGATTTCCCAAGAGTAAGTGTGATTCTGAATGGAGGGGAAAGTGTTGGGAATGAAATTATCATGTAAAATGTTTCAGTAGATAATAGTATTCATATCTGTGACTGGTTTTTTGTTTGCTTGTTTGGTTTTTGGTTTTTGAGTTTTTTTGAGATGGAGTCTTTCTCTGTTGCCCAGACTGGAGTGTAGTGGCGTGATCTCCACTCACTGCAACCTCTGCCACCTGGGTTTAAGCGATTCTCCTGCCTCAGCCTCCCAAGTAGCTGGGACTACAGGTGTGTGCCACTATGCCTGGCTAATTTTTGTATCTCTAGTAGAGACAGGGTTTTACTATGTTGGCCAGGCTGGTCTCGAACTCCTGACCTCAAGTGATCCACCCACCTTGGCCTCCCAAAATGCTGAGATTACAGGTGTGAGCCATTGTGCCTAGCCCATAACTGTGATTTTTTTTTTTTTTTTTTTTGAGACGGAGTCTCACCCTGTCGCCCAGGCTGGAGTACAGTGGCACAATCTCTACTCACTGCAAGCTCCGGCTCCCAGGTTCACGCTGTTCTCCTGCCTCAGCCTCCCAAGTAGCTGGGACTACAGGTGCCTGCCACCACGCCTGGCTACTTTTTTGTATTTTTAGCAGAGATGGGGTTTCACTGTGTTAGCCAGGATGGTGTCGATCTCCTGACCTCGTGATCCGCCCACCTTGGCTTCCCAAAGTGCTGGGATTACAGGCATGAGCCACTGCACCCGGCTTGTGATTGGTTTTTAAGAGGTCAGCTGTATTGGGAATTTTTGGAGGGATTCCTGTGCAATTGGGTTCTCAGGGAATGGGATCTTTCTTCAGTCTTTGAACTACATCAACAACCCCCGCCTCCCTGCTGGCAATCCACTTTGGTTAGGAAGAGCTGAGCATGTGGGACAATTTATCTTCAGATTTCATGTCTAAGAAAATGTACATGTAGAACAGAATATGTCACACTACTAAGTAGCCAAATCCATGTATTTTAAATTAAAATTAAAACTATGGTGGCCAGGCACAGTGGCTAACGCCTGTAATCCCAGCACTTTGGGAGGCTAAGTTGGGTGGATCACCTGAGGTTGGGAGTTCGAGACCAGCCTGACCAACATGGAGAAACCCTGTCTCTACTAAAAATACAAAATTAGCCAGGTGTGGTGGCGCATGCCTGTAATCCCAGCTATTTGGGAGGCTGAGGTAGGAGAATTGCTTCAACCCGGGAGGTGGAGGTTGCAGGGAGCCGAGATCGCGCCATTGCACTTCAGCCCCAGTTGACAACAGTGACACTTCATCTAAAAAACTAAAAAACAAACAAACAAAAAGCAAAACCACTATGGTAGATTTAGTCCTACAGACAAGGGTGAAGACAAAATGTTGCTGTGATGAATCGAATGCCAGTACTAAGAAAATTCAAAGGGAAATTGTAATGCACAGTCTGCCCAGCAACCATCTGCGGAGCAGCAGAGTGACAGGGCCTAGGGCTGACATGAGATTATTGTCTGGGACTGGATTGTGTAGACACAGAATTGTTGGTCCACCACAGACTCATCTGGAGGAGGAGCATCCAGTGGATATTGAGGATGCACTTTTATCATGTAAACAGCACCACTTACTAGACAGTACCCAGAAGGGTGGGAACTGATGCAGGACCCAATTATGGACATTTTTTGAAGAAAAAATGTTTCTTTTGTAAAGAAAACTCAATAGCAGAGGGAAATAGGGCTGGCACCAGCCTATTCTGACCTCTGCATATGGCAGGTTACTTTCTGCTGCCTCCCAGTCCTTTCTGCCCACAGAGTCCAGTAAAGTGAGACTCAAGCTCTATTCTAGCACTACATTGGTTCCACTTCTGGACAAGGGAGTGATCTGGCTGCACTAGCTCAGAAAGCCAGTTTTAGATGCTTAACAGCAACTCCTGCCTTCCCTCCCCCGCCCACCCACATCATAAAATACAGAGAAACCTTAAGAGTGTGGATTTCTCTAAAAGAGATTAAAATCTCCCTTCAGCAACTCTCAGATCACAAAGTTTTTGTGCATGTGGGAATGTATGTGACTGGGCTATGTCTGCTTGCTATGGACTGTGTTAGATGTGACAGGTACCAGTGACAGCTCTGTGACGGTACTCTTGTCATACCAGGTGGGTGATTAGTGATTAGGAGGCTATTTTAGGATAAAGAGGAATGCTCAGCATAACAATATCTGTGGTGACAAGGGAGAATACTTTCAAATGTGTCTGGGGGTCCCTTAATTCCATTTTTACGTCTTTATTTCATTGTCTGAAGAAAGGAAGAGAAGGGCAAATTCAAATGTTTACTCTGCCTCTCCAACTGTTTACCAATCCCTAAGAGACATCCCAGCTGTTCTCTTTCACCTTCTAGTAAAGAGGCTATTTTAATTAAGGTTGTTGAGCGAATGCATACAATACAATATAATGACTCTAAACTCTGAGCTAAAAACAACAAAAGTAACCTTAAAAACAACCTTGTATGTGATAACTACTTCTCTCAACTTGGGAAGACACACACAGATCAGACAGGCTTTAAAGAGAATTTTAGGGAAACTTCTAACCCAAACCAATACACTTACAGGGTGAAGAAGACTATACTACAGTTGCAAATATTTAGTTTGGAGTATCAGTATCCAGCCATCTCCAGTTGAATCCCTACATGCATTTATAGTAGCTCATCTTTAATTTTTGAGCCATTAGTGTTTATTTCAGAAATAAAACCTGTCCTCTTGATCACTAATCACCCATGTGTACAGCAAAAGCACAATCCCAATTATGTCACTTCTACCTGTCAGAGCCACCACAATCCACTGCATGCAGACACATCCCAGTCATATACATTTTTGCATGAGCAAAAGCTGTGTTCTTGTGATGAAATGATTTGATTTGAACCAGTAAGAATTTATATCCTTATAAAGCTATAAGCCAGTGGCAAGAAATTCTGTGTAATTTAGAGAAAGATTCATTCTTCTTAAGGCAACACTTGGCTATTTCAATTTCAGAATTATATTATATATAAAGTTGAATAATTTTATTTTTAAAGCAGTTTGTACAAATCTTTACATTCCACCAGAGGAATAAGCTTCTTTAATGGCATATTAGACAGTTTAGGAACTATATTAAACCTTTAAAGCTCTGAGGTCACATGTTACTAGGTTCATTTCCTGATACCAAGCCTCAGTTGTGAGCTTCAAGCCTTACGGAGCAGCTTACTCACACTGATGAGCATTTTGAATTTAGGCCACACACACACAAAAAAGGCCCACAGATCTAAGCTCCTGACAAAATATAACAGTCTACCTACATCCCAGGCAAAAGTTTCTGAGAGACCCATAGCTAATAAGGTTATAACTTTGTTCTGTGTTGCTCTTCATTCAAGGCATAATTCAATCCGAAGACAACTCAACTTGTCAAACCCGGACTTCAATATCCAGCAGCTTCAAAAACAGGAACAGTTGACTGGAATTGGTAGAATTAAACCAGAGTTATATAAGCAGAGGTCATTGGATAATGATGACGGGAGACGGAGTAACAGCAAGGCTTGTGGGAAACTGAACTTCATTTTAAAATATGACTGTGACTTAGAGCAGCTCATAGTGAAGATTCACAAAGCTGTCAATTTGCCCGCCAAGGACTTTTCTGGGACTTCAGATCCTTATGTCAAGATCTATTTGCTTCCTGATCGGAAAACAAAACACCAGACTAAAGTTCACAGAAAGACCCTGAACCCTGTGTTTGATGAAGTGTTTTTATTTCCGGTTCCCTACAATGACCTTGAAGCACGGAAGCTTCACTTCTCTGTGTACGACTTTGACAGGTTCTCTCGTCATGACTTAATCGGCCAAGTGGTGGTGGATCACTTCCTAGACTTGGCTGATTTCCCCAGGGAGTGCATCCTTTGGAAGGATATCGAATATGTCACCAATGTGAGTCCAGCATTTCTTCATTTTTGTGGTGGGGGGCATCTTGGTTAGCAAGGAAACAGATTACTTACACATTATCTTGAGGACAAAGTGTAAAATTCCTGTCAATGTACATGTAGCAGTTATTTCAGAACCTCCTTGTACCTTTTCAGAAACAGGGTTTTAACAATATTGATTTTGAAGTTTCCAAGCATTATTCCATGAAAACAATATTAAAGAATAACATTCTCTCTTTTCTACTTTCAGATTCTTAGCTAGCCCCTAAGAGACAGCAGGTGTTATCTGTCCTCCGTACCACATTTTCTTTAGAGCTTTTTCAGGTTGTTTGTGCTGAATGGAACCTGGCATTCTATTAACTGTAGTCTGCAGCTAAGAGACCATTACCTGACTCTGACAGCAGTAGGTACTTACCTGTCTTCTGAGGTTGGCTCAAGAGCATTTCCCATGATTGGATCCTCAGCTTCAACCCTACCAGTGGGAGTGGTTGAGAAGAGTTGGCAACACATTTTTAAATGTAAAACTCACAAAATCCAAGTTACAAGGAGGGAAGTCTGAAAAGAAACTATAGATAATGGCAAAACTAATCTATCGACAGTCACATCCAATTTAGGGCTCAGGAGAGAAGTCAAAGGTGCTATGTAGTGGTACCATACGTCTATGTCTACATTTTAAACACAAGATTTCAGAGGTGATATTTCTACTCCATTTATATCCTTTTCATTATCCTGCAGAGGTGTGTTGGCATTCCAGAAATAGAAAGGAAAATTGAACATTCTTAGGTAACTCTGATATTTTAAAGCCACTTGTTTCTTTCACCTGTCCAAATTCCCTGAGATAACTTTGTTAGCTCCTCTTCCTGGATATGAGCTATTCTGAGGCCAGCGTAGCTCTCTTTCTCTGCCATGGCATCCAAATGGACCAAGCACCACCGTCTTTATTCAGCTCAGACACTGATTCAGCTTGAGTCTGGAGCCTATTTAGTGAAAGACTAATCTCTGCCTAATGACCAAATACCTGCACCAGTACCCTCTTATCCTCAGCCACTTTTATGAACTAGGGACTCACCCATGCTCTGATTGCCCTGTGGGACACCTTCTCTCCACATGCCACAGGGTTCCAGTGCCAACTTTGTGCTGCTATCCAAATAAACAAAATGTAGCATGGGAGTCTGCTGGCCTTTATCATAATCATGAGGAAAGAAAGAAAGGAGTTGGAGCTGGATAAGGTGCAGAGAATAGCAGTTGATGAAACCAAGGTGATTTGGGATACTGGGGAAGGAATAGGTCTCTTTATCTTAAAAGATAATAATACACATAAACCCAACAATGGATGCTGGGGAAAGCAAGGCTTGTCTCCCAAATCCCAACTGACAAAATCAGGAAGCAACATGAGAAGGTTTAAAGAAACAAAATGGGAAGGCTGCTTATACAAAGATACGAATGGCTCAGGCATCACCCCCCACTGGGGTATTTACTAAGTCTCCCTGGTTATGGGAGCTGAGACACTGCCAGCTGCAGTGAGGTGCCTTGAACTTAAGTCTCATCTCAGGTATGGTAGGGAGGTGTTGGTCACACCATCTAATGAGACATCAATTTATACTTTTTGACAAATGGATTCCATAAAATAGCTGGAGAGGTTATTAGAAAGTTCAACGAGGATCTTGCTGAGAGTTGCCTTTAGAGACTTTGTGGTGAGAGCAACGTTGACTGCGCAGTGGCTGATACAAATCTGGATAAGGCTGATGATCCCTGGTGGGAACGACTCCTAGGACAGGTTCCTGTGGAACAAGAATATGGAGTGGCAGGTGATGGAGACCTTCTGGCCCTGAGATCACTGCCATTTCAGCATTCTCTTGGGAGTAAGAGTTTCTTTTCCATTGTTGGAAAATCCTGGATTTCCATAGGGTTAAGGAGAATGTGAAATTATTTATCAGGGAGGAAAACCAATAAAGCTACAGGCTTCAGATTTCTCAGTTGTTTCCTCAGGCAAACAATAAATCTTCTGAGCATTGATCTAAGCCTTTGGATGGCCACGGGAGAGGGTAGGTCCTGTCAATGGAATTACAGGCTATTTCATAGTCTGCCATATTATTACATTCCATTTTAAAAAATGTTATTTGGGGTTGTGGGGTTTTTTTTTGTATAGAGACTGAACATAAAGAGCTGAGATTTGCCATGATTCTCTTTTTATAATATAGAATGTATATAATATAGTAAATATAATAAATGGATTAATGAAGGAAAAATTAAATGAACAGGCCTGAACCCACCATTTAGTTGAAGAATAGAACATTACTTCTATTGACCCTTGAATTGTCCTCTATTGCATTCCCTCTCAGTCCAGTCCTGCCAAGAGAAAACCACTATCTTTAATTTTACTTATATCATCATATAAAAAATATATATGCATATACATATGACAATATGGGTTTGGGTTTTGTCTATTTTGGCATTTTATTGCTCTTCTTTGACTAGCTTTTTTTCTTTGGTCAACATTGATTATGGCATTTAGTAATAGAAATAAGCAGAGCAGCTGTGGCTTATGTATCTTCATTGCTATATAATATTCCATTGTATTAATATTAATATATGACAAATTTGCATTCTTGTACTGATGACATTCAGGATGTTAGTTTTTCTGTGATTCTGAATAATATCGCAGAGATTTTGTACACATCTTTTGGTTCACATATGCAATCATTTCTCTAGAGTTTATCCCTGATAGAGGTAAGGTATACATGTGTTCAGCTTTTCTAGATAATGACAGTCTTTTTCAGTCATTTGCACGTATCACAAATTGATCCTTCCACTGTTGAAATGTGATGATCCCTAGTGTTCCACTTTCTCTCCAACTCTTGCAGTTGCCACACTGATCAATGTATGTGTGTGCATGTATGCAAAATGATATATTATTGGCATTTCTTCAGTTGTCCGGTTTGACCATCTCTTGATATGTTTATTGGTCATTCATGTTTTCTTTCTTGTGAAAATTCTTGTTCAGCACTTATTCTTTTGTTTTCCTTTCCTTGTTGATTCACATAGGCTTTTTAAGCAGTTGGGATGCAAATCCCTTGTTGGTTATGTGTTTTACAAACATCATCTCTCAGTTTATGGCTGTCTTTGTATTCACTTTATGGTGTCTTTGATAAATAGAGGTTATGTTTGGTGTAATAAAATGTATCAGGATTTTCTGTTGTAAATTAGCGCATTTGTGTCCTACTTAAGAAGTACTTCCTTACCCTATGTCAGGAAAGATATTTCTCCTATGCTTTCTATTAGAAGTGTTAAGGTTTTGTCTTCCTCAATTATGATTTTAATCCATCTAGAATGGAAATGTTTACATAGTGTTATATAGGCATCATATATCAGTCAACTTGGGCTGCCATAACAAAATACCATAAACTGGGCAACTTAAACAATAGATATTTATTTCTTAGAGTTCTGGAGCCTGGGATATCCAAGACCAAGTTTCAGCAGACTCCATTCCTGGTGAGGCTCTCTTCCTGGCTCACCTTCTCACTGTGCCCTCATGTGACAGAGAGAGGGAGAGAGCTCTGGTTCTAGTCTCTCTTCCTCTTCTTATAAGGACACTAATCCTACAATGGGGGCCCCACCCTCATGACCTCATGTAAACCTGATTACCTCCCAAAAGCTTCATTTCCAAATACTGTCACAATCACACTGGGGATTAGGGTTTCAATATATAAATTGGGAGGGACAAAAACATTCAGTCCATAACATATCCATATTTATTTTTCTATATGGGCAAAAAATTTTCTGGCATATTTTCCCAATAATATGCACTGTATGCTCTGTCCTATGTAGATTTCTGTATATGCACAACCTGTTTCTGGATTCTCTTTTCTATCCACTGGGATGTTTAACTATCTCTATGAATAGCACAATTTGCAAATTACTATTGTTCTATGATAAGCCTTAACATCTGGAAGGGCAAATCATCCAGCCTACCTCTATCTTAGTTCAACCTTGGCTGGTACTTGACTTTTCTCACACATTTTAGAATCACATTGCCAAGTTAAACACCCTCTCTGGTATTTGGATTTGTATGAAGTCTATTGATTAATTCATGAAAATTTTATATCTTTTGTGATATTGAGTCTTTCTACACGTGACCATAGTATATCTCTCCATTTACTTATTCTTTTACTTATTTCTTCTTTAAAGTTTTTTATTCAAAGCCTATAATTTTCTACGTTAAGATCTTGCATGTCTCTTGTTAGATTTATTGCTAGGTACATTACTTTTTGTTCTTTTAAATGTTATCTTCTCTAAAATTTCATTTTCTAACTATTGCTAGTGTATAGTTAAAATTCTTTATGTTAATATATCTTCTATTTGGCAGTCTTGTAGAACTCATTAATGCCTTTTTTTTTTTATGGCATTTTGCTCTTGTCACCCAGGCTGGAGTGCAATGGCGCAATCAAGGCTCACTGCAACCTCTGCCTTCAGGGTTCAAGTGATTCTCCTGCCTCGGCCTCCTGAGTAGCTGGAATTACGGGCGCCCACTACCACGTCTGGCTAATTTTTGTATTTTTAGTGGAGACGGGGTTTCACCATGTTGGCCAGGCTGGTCTCAAACTCCTAACCTCAGTGGATCTGCCGGCCTTGGCTTCCCAAAGTGCTGGGATTTCAGTCATGAGCCACCGCGCCCAGCCTTAGCTATGTATATTTTGTGGATATATTCATATTAAGAATGTTTTACTCTATTCAGAGTTGAGTAAGCCTTTTTATCACACGTAATTGTTTTATCGTATGCTATAATCCAGTGAGGTTTTTTTTACTCCTTTAATCTGCTATTTTGGTCAATTACATTGATTGATTTTCTAATTTTGAGCCAATCTTATATTCCTAGAATGATCCACACTGATCTTGATATAGTACATTTTCTTTACACTGCTGAGTTCAGTTTGATAATATTTCATTTAGCATTTTATTTCTTCTGTGCTCATGAGTGATGCATGTAATATGCTGTCTTGTACTGTCCTTGTCTGGCTTGGAATCGAGGTAATTCTTGCTTTATAAAGTTAGTTTGGGGCATTATTTTGGATGCCTGCTATTTGTTCCTGCTCAGTGTCCCTGAAGGCTTTGGGGTTTTTGTGTATCTTTCTTCAAACTGGAAGAATGCCCCTAGTTTCTGACTTCTCCTTAGGTTCAGACAATGAGAAAGGGAGGAGAGTGGGGTCAGGATATTCATTCCCCTATTTCTTCTTTTTTTTTTTCTTTTCTTCTTTTTCTTTTTTTTTTTTTTTTTTTTTTGAGACTGAGTCTTGCTTTGTCGCCCAGGGCTATTTCTTGAGGTATCTGTAGGCTGGCAATAACTTTCAACTGAAAGCCACAACTCTGGAATATGCCTTTATTTTGCTTTTATTCTTAAAAGATTGTCTGGGAATAACAATTTGGGAGCACAAAACTGAGTTACTTTGATTTTGCCATTATAAAACTATCATTTCATTGTCTTCTGACCTCCAATTGTTTTTGAGAAGTTGACATTTGGTCTAATATATATTCCTTTGTATAGGAATAAAACCGTAATTACCACAGACCCCATAACACTAGCTCAGTGGTAATTTGGGTATGAATGTTTTAAATGCATAACAATGCGAATTGTCAGTATTAAGTCAAATGCAGCTAGAAACAGTAGTTTTCTTATGGTAGTGCAAGTTTGTATTAATGGTTAGAAACTGGCTGAGGGGACTTTTGTTTCTTTTTTACACAAAGCAAGTCTAAGACAGGCATGATGTTGGGGATAATATCTGTTTAATAAGCAGGGGAGAAGTTCTGTGTTGTTTATCCTTTAACGATGTGACTCTCAGGCTCTGCAGTCCTCTGAATGCCAGAAGCTAAGCCACCAGAGACTCACATTTACCTCCATTCAAGCTCCAGCTGCAGAGTTTACTTACCTCTGTGGATTAATGCTTTCTTGTTGTTTCTGTCCACTGAAAAATTCTCTTTCTGGTCCGTCAGCTCTGCTACACATTAAGAAGAATTTTTTAATCTAGTATTTTTACCTGAAGGAGTTTCTGTGAGTATTCAAACCTATTGCAAGAAACACTGCTATATGGCTCAAAGCTTATTTTTAAAAAGCCATTTTGCTTATACTAACTGAGTAGTAATCTGTGTATTATATATTTGTCTTTCAATTGAGTAGAACTTTAGAGGTCCTTCAATCTAGCAGATAAAGCTGAGATGAATGGCCATTAGGACATTCAGCTGAGGTTACATAGCTGAATAATAGCCAAATCAAAATTAAGACCAAGTTTTTTAAATAATCATTTCAGTCTGTGCAGGAAAAGGTGGCTCAAAATGATCATATACACTGGTTTACTTCTCCTTCCCCTCTTTACCTGGCTAACTCCCACTAAGCTCTTAAATCCCAGCTTATGTGCCATTTCCTCAGAGAACTCTTTTTCTGAGCCCTGGACTAGTGTAGGTTTTTCTGGCATTTGTTTCCATGACACTCTGTATTTCTATCATTACTCATGCTTCTTTTGTGTATTTGTTCAATTTTCTTTCTATAAGTGCAAAACCCACATTTGGTTTGCTTCCTGCTGGGTGCTCAACCTCTAGAATGGTGTCTGAAAGTTAGATATTTAATAAGCACTTGCTGCATAAAGTGAAACTCCTTATGAGGGACTAATTTGTTGAGTCTCTAGGGACTGCTTGAGTTGGAGGCTGTTATGCAGAACTGAACTCATAAACTAATCTTTTTTAAAAAATTCTTTGTTTCTCCAAGGAGAGTGTGAGTTTTATAAATGTTGGCACTCAAATAAAAATTAATCCTCATGCTTTCCTATGAAAGAACAAAACGGCAATTATTGAGTGTAAAAATGATGGTGTAATTAAACCTCTCAACTACTGAAGCCAGATCAATAATAGTACAATACATCTTTGTGAGGATTTTATCAGTCAGCAAGAGAGAAGACAGCATCAAGGGGGAAGGTCAAAATTTCGGAGACTATGAGTCCAGTGTTCTGGGTTAATGTTGTCTGTCAGGACGATCCTCTTGGCATTTTTAGTATACCCCACTTACTAGTGGCTTTCTGAAAAAGTAGGCATTAAGCACTTCAGGAATCTCTTTCTTGGTGGTTGGCTTAGAAACTGGTTCGGAGACTGTCTCTGGGAGCTATGATCACCTCAGTTAGACTCTGATTTGGAGAAGATGCCACAGTTCTCATGTAATGACAGTAGAAGTAATGAATTTCCCTCTATGCCAATACAGATTCCAGTTCAGAAGAGGCAAGGACACAGTTTACAACAGCATAGACTTTCTTTTAATGTTAAGAACTTAAAACTCTTATTTCAGCAAGGTTTGTTATTTTGTAGTGACTGATTTGGAGACTTTCCTGTTCTGTCTCCCAAAGGCCTGAGGCCACTCGCAGACCTGATGGAGGTGGACACCTGGAACCACCCAGGCAGGGGGAATATAAGTATTCAGGGAAGTCCAGAGTGCTTGCTCTTCATAGTCGAATACAAATGGGGCAGGCAGGCTCTGTGATTGAAGATATTTATTAATTTGAATCCCTTTTCATTTCATTGTACCATAAGTCATATGTGATTATTATATTGATGCAACACAAGTGAGCCCCAAAACTGGGGCTTAGCCCAGGAGAGTTCTTGGCTTCACCCAGGAAATAATTCAAGGGCAACTCAGTAATGTTTGACAGCAGTCTTTTATTGAACAGTACTGCTCCATGCAGAGCAGGGGTAACTCATAGGCAGTGTGCCCAGAGTCAGCAATGTATGAGCTGTTGGCAACTGAATATATACCCAGTTATACCCACTTCCAATTACATACAAATTAAAGGGCGGGTTAATGCAAATAGAGGGGTGGGTTATTTAGGACTTTCTAGGAAAGGGTCAGTAACTTCTGAGTCATTGCCATGGAAAGGTGGTAACTTCTGGGTTGTTGCCATGGCATTTGTAAACTGTCATGGTGCTGGTAGGAGTGTATGATGTAAATGAGCAATGAGGGCAACTAGGGATCACTTTCCTTGCTATCTGCTGGCTCTTGCTGGTTCCTTCACTTCATCCCAGTGGGAAATAAGTCCTGCTTGTGTCCTACCTCCGTATGATTTTAAGGTTGTGTTACATTCGGTGGTGTCCTGGTAGATGCTTAACAACTCGTTGTGGGGCAGGGATGGGGGAAGGAAGGGGACCTGATTTTAGCATTTGGTGATTCCTGGGTTGTAAATACTCCCAGCAGGGCTGATTTCAAGTTGCCAATGTGACATCACTGAAAGCAGAGTTGGCAAGAGATGCTCACCCACAATTGACTCCCCAGGCTGCTGCCAGCTTATAGGAGCCAGCTCCAGGACACCACTACACGTAGTGCTGAAAATGCAAAAAGGACCGGCTGCTTAACTGATCCTAAGGGACAAGCAACTCGAAAAACACCACAGAAAGCCATGGTTTCCAGCTGCCAAGAGGGAAGCCAGGTTCCTTCTATAATGTGGGTGAAGTCTGGATACCACTAGGGTCTACTGAGCTGTATCTTTATGAGAGTCCACTGAATCTCACCCTATCATTTTTCCCACTTGTGATCCCTCAGACATGTTATCCCCTTGATGTCTAGATTATTCAGAGGGAGTGAAAAGTGGCAGCACTGTAGAACAGCACAACTGAAGGAAGGGATTGATGAAGCTACAGGTCTCTGACGAAGAGACTTTAATAGCTTTTATTCTAGTGAGGGTGCCAGGACAAAGTGTTTGGTTTTTTTAATAAAATATATACCATCAAGATATGAACCACCAATATATTAGCCAATATGTAAACATCAGTCAGTCCAGAATTTAGCTGAAGAAAGAGAACATTATCAGTCTCTTTGAAGCTTCCTATGTGCCGCTCCTCCAAATCCCCCTAAGAGATTATCTGTATACTGAATTTTATATGTATAATTCCCTGTTTTTAAAAATCATTTTACCACTTAAGAATAGGCTATTCAGTTTTGCCTATTGTTGAAATTTATGTGAAAGATACTATATTGTGTTTGTTCTTCTGCAAACTGTTATGTTCAATATTATGTGTATTAAAATAATTTATGTTCATGTACATAACTAGTTCTTTTTTGTTGTTTTGCAGCATGATTTTAGCATTCCATATTATATGGTCTACAACAATTTATCTTTCTTCTGTCAATGGTTATTTGAATTAATTTTAAGTTTTTTTCTATTTCAGAAAATGCTGCTATTAATCTTTCTTGTATGTGTCTCCTGGTAAATACATGCAGGAATTTCTGTAAAGTATATACCTAGGAATGGAGTTGCTAGGTTGAAGTAAATTGTATCTCTAAGAAGTTTGACCACTTACAATCCCACTAGCAGTATTTGAGACCATCTTAGACTATGTTCTCTCTAACACTTGGACTTGCTATACACTATAATTCTAATAATTTGACCACAGATTCTTTTGAGTTTTGTACATTCACAATAATACTATGCATGAATAAGGACAATTTTGTTTCTTCTTTCTTTTTTAATTATTTTGCTTGCTCTCCCTACCTCATCTTTTTTGCTTGTTTTATTACATTTATTACAATCACCAATACAAATGCCAGTGGAGTAAACCTTGGTTTGTTTCTGTTCTTGAAAAAAATGCTTTGATTATTCATCACTAAGTAGGACATTGGCTATAGACTTTTTGAAAACCTGAATGGATATTGAATTTTATCAGTTGATTTTCTGTATCTATTGAGAGAATCATGTGTTTTGTTCCTTTTATCTTTTAAAGTAATAAATTATATTGCTATATTTTATACTTTTTATGAAAACTTGTATTTCTGAGATAAATCCAACTTGTTCACAATGTGTTGCTTTTTTATATACATGGATATACATGAATGTGTGTGTGTATGCGTGTGTGTGTTCAGCTATTTGGTTTGCTAATATTTTAAAAATTTTGTGACTAAACTTGTGAGTGAGATCAAACTGTGATTTTTTTTTCTCTCTTAATCTGCATTTTATTATTAAAGGTGTACAAGCCTTAAAAATGAGTTATGGCACATTATCTCTTTTCCTAGTCTCTTAAAGATTTTGTGTCATTTTGTGTATGATTGAAATAATCTTTTCTGTCAATGTTTAGTAGAACTTTCTAGTATAACTTTCTGGGTCAGATATTTACTTTAGGGGAAATTAATTCAATTTATTTGATGATTATAATACCAAATTATTTTTTATTTCATTGAGAATTGATTTTGGTGATTTAGATTTTTCTAGAAATTTGCTTATTTCATCTATGTTTTGAATGTATTGTCTTAAAGTTCTTCATAATTTTTTCTTCTTATTTCTGCCTTATTTCTGGTTATGTCCTTATTCTCATTTCTAATATAGATTATTTATCCCTGTTCACTTTCTCATTGATCAGTGTCACTGGAGTTTATCAGTCTTATTGGCCTTTTCAAATAACCAACTTTTAATTCTATTAATTCTATTTAATTTTTGTTTTCCATTATTTTTCCTGTATGATTTTCTTTCTTTTTTCTTTAGTCTATTCAGTTGATATTTTTAATAATTACTTATATCTTTAGGTTAGTAATTTGCAGTCTTTTAAAAACTTTTTTAAAATATGCATTTAAGACTATAAATTTCCCTTGAAGTAGTGCTTTAGCTTTATGTTTGCAAATTTTGATATTTAGTGTTTTCATTTTTATTTTTATCTAAGCATCTTCTAGCATCAAATATGAGTTTTTCTTTGGTCTATATATTGTTTAAAGGTGTGTTTTTAAAATTTCATATTGCATAGTTTTTTTAAGCATTATTTCTGTAACTTAATTAAAAATGTGATTGGATAATATGGAGTGTATTTTATAGATTATTTGATATCTGTTCAAATTTGCTTTATGTTCTCTTACACATCAGTTTTTATAAATGTGCTAGGTGCTCTTGAAAAGATTATGTCTCACTCATATCTACATCTTGAATAATATTTTTCCTCAGTCTAATATATCAGTTATTGATAAAATGTGTTTTTCATCTCCTACTATGATGGTGGATTTTCAATTTCATCTTTAGTTCTATCAAAATTTCTGCTTAATGTATATATGTAAAAATATGATATTAGTACTTTTTATATATGTCTGGTCTTTTCAACATTTTGTTATTATTTAGTGTCTCTATATAGAGAAATGCTTTTTAGGCCTTCAAGTGTTCTTTGGCATTTATAAAGTTTAAAAATTTTTCTTCCAATTCTGTGAAGAAAGTCATTGGTAGCTTGATGGGGATGGCATTGAATCTGTAAATTACCTTGGGCAGTATGGCCATTTTCACGATATTGATTCTTCCTACCCATGAGCATGGAATGTTCTTCCATTTGTTTGTATCCTCTTTTATTTCCTTGAGCAGTGGTTTGTAGTTCTCCTTGAAGAGGTCCTTCACATCCCTTGTAAGTTGGATTCCTAGGTATTTTATTCTCTTTGAAGCAATTGTGAATGGGAGTTCACTCATGATTTGGCTCTCTGTTTGTCTGTTGTTGGTGTATAGGAATGCTTGTGATTTTTGTATATTGATTTTGTATCCTGAGACTTTGCTGAAGTTGCTTATCAGCTTAAGGAGATTTTGGGCTGAGACGATGGGGTTTTCTAGATATACAATCATGTCGTCTGCAAACAGGGACAATTTGACTTCCTCTTTTCCTAATTGAATACCCTTTATTTCCTTCTCCTGCCTGATTGCCCTGGCCAGAACTTCCAACACTATGTTGAATAGGAGCGGTGAGAGAGGGCATCTCTGTCTTGTGCCAGTTTTCAAAGGGAATGCTTCCAGTTTTTGCCCATTCAGTATGATATTGGCTGTGGGTTTGTCATAGATAGCTCTTATTATTTTGAAATACGTCCCATCAATACCTAATTTATTGAGAGTTTTTAGCATGAAGGGTTGTTGAATTTTGTCAAAGGCTTTTTCTGCATCTATTGAGATAATCATGTGGTTTTTGTCCTTGGCTCTGTTTATATGCTGGATTACATTTATTGATTTGTGTATATTGAACCAGCCTTGCATCCCAGGGATGAAGCCCACTTGATCATGGTGGATAAGCTTTTTGATGTGCTGCTGGATTCATTTTGCCAGTATTTTATTGAGGATTTTTGCATCAATGTTCATCAAGGATATTGGTCTAAAATTCTCTTTTTTGGTTGTGTCTCTGCCCGGCTTTGGTATCAGAATGATGCTGGCCTCATAAAATGAGTTAGGGAGGATTCCCTCTTTTTCTATTGATTGGAATAGTTTCAGAAGGAATGGTACCAGTTCCTCCTTGTACCTTTGATAGAATTCGGCTGTGAATCCATCTGGTCCTGGACTCTTTTTGGTTGGTAAACTATTGATTATTGCCACAATTTCAGCTCCTGTTATTGGTCTATTCAGAGATTCAACTTCTTCCTGGTTTAGTCTTGGGAGAGTGTATGTGTTGAGGAATGTATCCATTTTTTCTAGATTTTCTAGTTTATTTGCGTAGAGGTGTTTGTAGTATTCTCTGATGGTAGTTTGTATTTCTGTGGGATCGGTGGTGATATCCCCTTTATCATTTTTTATTGTGCCTATTTGATTCTTCTCTCTTTTTTTCTTTATTAGTCTTGCTAGCGGTCTATCAATTTTGTTGATCCTTTGAATTGGAAAAAACTACTTTAAAGTTCATATGGAACCAAAAAAGAGCCCGCATCGCCAAGTCAATCCTAAGCCAAAAGAACAAAGCTGGAGGCATCACACTACCTGACTTCAAACTATACTACAAGGCTACAGTAACCAAAACAGCATGGTACTGGTACCAAAACAGAGATATAGATCAATGGAACAGAACAGAGCCCTCAGAAATAACGCCACATACCTACAACTATCTGATCTTTGACAAACCTGACAAAAACAAGCAATGGGGAAAGGATTCCCTATTTAATAAATGGTGCTGGGAAAACTGGCTAGCCATATGTAGAAAGCTGAAACTGGATCCCTTCCTTACACCTTATACAAAAATCAATTCAAGATGGATTAAAGATTTAAACGTTAGACCTAAAACCATAAAAACCCTAGAAGAAAACCTAGGCATTACCATTCAGGACATAGGCGTGGGCAAGGACTTCATGTCCAAAACACCAAAAGCAATGGCAACCAAAGCCAAAATTGACAAATGGGATCTAATTAAACTAAAGAGCTTCTGCACAGCAAAAGAAACTACCATCAGAGTGAACAGGCAACCTACAACATGGGAGAAAATTTTCGCAACCTACTCATCTGACAAAGGGCTAATATCCAGAATCTACAATGAACTCAAACAAATTTACAAGAAAAAAACAAACAACCCCATCCAAAAGTGGGTGAAGGACATGAACAGACACTTCTCAAAAGAAGACATTTATGCAGCCAAAAAACACATGAAAAAATGCTCATCATCACTGGCCATCAGAGAAATGCAAATCAAAACCACTATGAGATATCATCTCACACCAGTTAGAATGGCAATCATTAAAAAGTCAGGAAACAACAGGTGCTGGAGAGGATGTGGAGAAATAGGAACACTTTTACACTGTTGGTGGGACTGTAAACTAGTTCAACCATTGTGGAAGTCAGTGTGGCGATTCCTCAGGGATCTAGAACTAGAAATACCATTTGACCCAGCCATCCCATTACTGGGTATATACCCAAAGGACTATAAATCATGCTGCTATAAAGACACATGCACACGTATGTTTATTGCGGCATTATTCACAATAGCAAAGACTTGGAACCAACCCAAATGTCCAACAATGATAGACTGGATTAAGAAAATGTGGCACATATACACCATGGAATACTATGCAGCCATAAAAAATGATGAGTTCATGTCCTTTGTAGGGACATGGATGAAATTGGAAACCATCATTCTCAGTAAACTATCGCAAGAACAAAAAACCAAACACCGCATATTCTCACTCATAGGTGGGAATTGAACAATGAGATCACATGGACACAGGAAGGGGAATATCACACTCTGGGGACTGTGGTGGGGAGGGGGGAGGGGGGAGGGATAGCATTGGGAGATATACCTAATGCTAGATGACGAGTTAGTGGGTGCAGCGCACCAGCATGGCACATGTATACATATGTAACTAACCTGCACAATGTGCACATGTACCCTAAAACTTAAAGTATAATTAAAAATAATAATAATAATAATAATAATTTTAAAAAAAATTTTTCTTTTAGTTTTGTCTTGTATATTTCTATTTTTTTAACTTACAAATTTCCTACATCCTTATATTTTAAGTGTAAATGTTGTAAGCAAAGTATAGCTGGATTTTTTTTAAATCCATTCTGAAAATCATTGACTTCTAACAAGTGAGATTAGTATATTTATGTCATTGTGATTATAAATACATGTGGATTTATTTCTACCATTTTACATCATTTAAATTCTAATTTTTAAATATTTTTCTTCTTTTAAATTGTTTTGACCCCATTTTACTTTCTCCCTTCTACCAACTTATAAGATACAACCTCTGTTTTTACTTGTTTAGTACTTTCCTAGAAATTACAATATGCGTTGTTAATTTAATAAAGTAAAAAGTTAATCAGTGTATTAAACCTCCGTCAAAACTATATTTTTACTTTGGGACCTTTGACTCCAGTTACCTCCATTCCAGATGACATAACTATTATTTTCTGATATTTTACTCCTATCTTGCCGTGGTTTTCTACACTCAGCAATTTGACATTATAATTAATGTTTTATAAAGCCAATGATTGTTTAAATTTACCACATATTTACCACTTCTCTTGGTTTACTATTTCTTCAGACTTTCCTTCTAGATTATTTTTTATGTTTAGTACATTTTTGAGAAATTCCTTCAGTTAAAGATCTGTTGATGTTAGCCCTCTCAGTTTTTACTTGTTTGGAAATGTTACCATTTCACATTAATAACTGAAAAAAACATAGGTATGCAAATCTTGTGTGGATAATTTTTTTTCTCAGTATCTATTCTTTTAGAATCTTGCCTCCAAACTCCTGGTTTTGAGAAATCAACCGCTCTCTATGTGTAACACTCTTTTCTCTGTGCCATACTTCGAGACTTCTCTGAAATTTGATTATAGTATGAATGGTGTTGAATTTTTAAAAATTATTGTTTATCTTTCTTAGGATTCATAGGGTGTCAGGAATCTGATGTGTCTCATCAATTCTGAAAATTCACAGCCATGATCTCTTTGCATATTGTCTCTCCCTGATGCTTTCTATCTTTTCCTCCTGGAAATCTCTTTAGATATTTTAGACCTATTCACTCTATCTTCCATGTTTGTTTGTTTATTCTTTTTCCTATTGATAGTGCAGCTGGGTAATTTCTTTACATCTGTTTTTGAGTACGCTAATTCTTTCTTTAGCAGTTTCCAATTAGTACTTAATAATTTCTTGAATTTCTCATTTAAATTGATGTAATTTTCATTCCTAGAAGCTTTGACTCTTAAAACTTTGTTCATTTGTATAATTATTTGATCCATTTTCATACTTTTGACATCTTTTTAGTTCTTTAAACTTCTCTGCTCATATAGTATTTTCAGTCAGATAATTATAAAATATATGACTCGACGTCACTTCTGCATTTGAGACAAAAGGAAAGTGGCAAGGAAAGAAGGCAGTGATAAGTACCTCTAGGGACTCTTTTTCATCTGGAAAAAGAAAGCAGTCCTAAAAGTCATCCCAATGTCTCCGCTTATTTCTTATTGGACAAAGCTCTGTCACAAAACCATCCTCACACTCAAGAAAAGTAATGAAAGCATATTTTTAGCTTTTTCAGCCTGTATGCTGGAAAGTGGCCAGATGAAGGGGTTAGAAATGTAATTTAAGTTAGCTGTGGCATTTGCCCCAGTAGCACAGAAGGAGATGCTCAGGAACCTTTTATTGAATCTGAGTCTGAAATGCACCATCTCATTTAGTCACACTGGGTCCACAAAAGGGAGGACAGGGAAGAAAGCTGAGAAAGCATGCCAGCTCTGTTGGGATTCCTGTGAACATGTGTGGAGGTGATTCCACAGCTCAAAGAAGATAACAGGGGATAGCGATATTTTTCTCTATAAAAATCTATCCTTGTTTTCCTTATTTTGGGTGGAATTTGAAAAAGGGTAAATTTATAAGAGAAATTAAAACATGCTTATTTAAAAAAAAACTCTCCATGAACCTATATGTGAATGTTCATAGCAGCTTTACTCATAATTGACAAAAACTGGAAACAACCTAAATGTCCTCCAATGGGTAAAACAATAAACTATTACATACATACAATGGAATGCTACTCAGCAATGAAAGGAATACTCAATGTGTGCATAATATACACACAATAGCATGGATGGATATCAGGGGTATAATGCTAAGTGAAAAAAAGCAAGACTCAAAAATCTACGTACTGCATATTTTCCTTATATGAAAGAGGCAAAATTATAGGGATGGAGAACAAATCAACATTTGCCAGGGCTTGGGGATGGGGAGATGCGTTGATGACAAAGGGGCAATATGAGGGAATTGAGGGGTTGGGAGGAGGTGAAACTGCAAATCAAAGATAAATAAAAATTTAAAAATCACTTTTTGAGGAGGAAAATAAAGAATTAAATGAGAAAAATCTAATGAAAAGAGTGACCGTCGAGTTTGAAGATACAGGAATATATAAAATATTTCTGTCTATCTAGGAAGATATAGAATAGATAAGAATAATCAATAGAGCAAGTTCTCTGAGAAGTTAGCCAACAGGATCTAAACTATAGGTGTAGAGGTTGACTTTAGATAAACAAGGGGACAATATTTTCTTTTGAGATGGAGTTTCCCTCTTGTTCCCCAGGCTGGAGGGCAGTGGTGTGATCTTGGCTCACTGCAACCTTTGCCTCCCGGGTTCAAGCGATTCTCCTGCCTCAGCCTCCTGAGTAGCTGGGAATACAGGTGCCCACCACTACACCTGGCTAATTTTTGTATTTTTAGTAGAGACAGGGTTTCACCATGTTGGCCAGGCTGGTCTTGAACTCCTGACCTCAAGCAATACAGGTGTCCACCACCATGCCCAGCTAATTTTTGTATTTTTAGTAGAGATGGGGTTTCATCATGTTGGCCAGGCTGGTCTCGAACTCCTGACTCAAGTGATCCACTCTCCTCAGCCTCCCAAAGTACTGGGATTACAGGCGTGAGCCACAGCACCCAGCTGGGGACAATATTTTCTTTGTTATAGGAATTAATAGGAAAAAGATGAGAGCAAATTCAGGTAAATTTGTAGATTTGGAGAAGTGTAAAGATAAAACATTAAAAAATGTGCAAAAGGGATAGCAGGGATTTTTTATATTGAGGACCAATACCAGTCAACTGGTGGTAGCTGACTAATGTATTGTGTTAGGAAGGATTTACAAGCAATATCAAGGATCAGGAAATGAGAAGACTAGGATCTAGTGGCAATGTCTGCCACAAGTTTTAGACAACCAATTACCTTCTATTATTTCAGCTAATTCTCTCTAATTGTATGTATTGTAAGAAATCACACACACATTCTCTACCTATAATAACCTTACTTTTCCACTTCTCTTTGTTTAACTAAAGGCTATTCACAAGCCGAGGAATTTGAGACTAGCCTGGGCAACATGGTGAAACCCCGTTTCTACCAAAAAAAAATATGTAATAGTACAAAAATTAGCCAGACATGGTGGCGGGTGCCTATAGTCCCACCTACTTGGAGGGCTGAGGTGGGAGCATCACCTAAGCCCAGGGAGGTCAAGGCTGCAATGAACCATGATTGTGCCACTGCGCTCCAGCCTGGGGGACAGAGTGACACCCTGTCTGAAATAAAAGCTATTTACATTAGGAGTCCTCATTAAGCAACCCCTCTATATATGCACCCGGAATAGATGAGATGCTTCTTGTGTGCTCTTCAAGCATCCTATATGTCCCTCTTCACCACAGTTACCACATTAGATTGTAAGTATCTATGTATCTCTGCCTACCACACTAGAATAGTTGATCCTTGAAGAGGAAGTCTGTAACTATATTCCTATTATTTAACCTAAGAGGTGGATAGTAAAATTATTTTTGAGTGCACAGGTGAATGAAGGAAACTAAAATAGCTCCAATATGGCGTGTGAATCTTAATTTGGAATTCCTGGAAGCAGAAGCTGAGAGGGATTCTCGTGCAAGTGACTTAGTGAAGGACTGCCCTCAAGTGAAACCCATAAAGAAGAAAGGGAGGCAGGTGGGTGAAGGGAGAGAGCGAGGCAAAGGTGTATCAGCTAAAGCCTTTCCTGAGCCTGATGCCACAAGGAGCTCTGGAGCGTGAAGAGCACCACTGAGGTATCCCACCCTGAGACGAGGGGGCCGCCGTTTTACCCTGTGCTAGTCTTTCATGGGCTGTAGGACTCCTCTGGGAAAGGGTATAACTTGCCTGTCATTTTCAAGATGGTTCCCATCAGCTGAGGAGAATTTTCCCAAGAAATATAGAGCCATGAACTGTTCGCAGCCAATGCTCATAGCCGCTAAGGAATGGATGCACTGGCTTTGTCAAAGGGGATGTAGGCAGGGAACAATAGGGTCTATTGCAGTGTGACAGGACAATGGGAAAGGGGTTATGGGAACATAGGTGGGACCCTGACTCCCATGACCTCTGAGATATAGGAAAAGGAAGGAGAAAGAGAAGAGGGATCCTCTTCCCCTCACCTCCCACCCCACATACTCCTTTCCTAGGTGAGAGTTGGCTTGCTGCCTTGGCGTTGTGGCTACCAAAGACAGGTGTCTGCACAGCAGGCTGGATGCTCCTGAGAGGCAGGTTGGCTTTGCAGAGAGCTGAGGTGGA